>NC_000013.11:88980251-89283282 GCF_000001405.40 Homo sapiens
GAGTATTTTGTAAAATTGTGGCCTTCTGTAACTTAGGAGATGAAAATTTTATGTAATGAACTTTTATATTTGGTTAAGGGTTCTCCATGCTTAATATTGGAAGAATTAACTGATTTTTTAAAATTGAATAGAAGATACTATAAGAAAGGGATATTCTGAAAAAAATAAAGTGGGATATAATTTGTAAAAAGGACTTGCACTTGGTAGGATAGGATATGACACTGTTTTTTACCAGGGACATTACAATGCCCTGAAATAAGATATGGCTTCAGAGTATACATCACACAACTAGTGGTAAAACTCTTTGTCAAGACCTTTTAAAAAATTAAGGCAGTGCCTCCAAGACACTTTCATTTCTCTCAATAGAGATTGTACGGAGGTTTAGGTCATAGCGTTTAGAGGCCTGGTATGAAAATGGCAGAAAATAAATCTAGAGAGGGAGACATTACAGGAAAGTAATTATGAGTACTGATTTTGTTATATAGGTTGGATTATAAGCAGTGAATACTAAAGCTCATGAAAACTTTCAGGAAATAGTGAAAAATGTTTCTACATTCTGAATGTATTGAATCTGCTCAAAAAACAAATATTGGAGCCTCAAGAATTTTGCTAAGAATAAGGCTGAGAAAATTCTTCAATATTTTCTAATACCTTTTACCATTGCAGACTCACATACACCAACTCATGTTATCCTGTTATATGTGGGTATACTTCTTGTTAATAGGAATTTTTAGTAATCATGGCTAATATGTAAGTACACTTCTTGTTAATAGGAATTTTTAGTCATTCATTTCCTAACCACATTCAAATAAGGGATACACTTTAAAAATAGAGTTGTTATAAAATTAGATGAGAATTCTATTACATTATAATGATGATGTGGAGGAGGTAAAAAATGGTGATGATAATGATTTAAATGACGATGTTTTGGAAATTGGTTTCTAAGGAGTAATAAACTTATGAAAAAAGGCTTCTAAACAGAGATCAAGTCCATATAAACTCTTGGCAACACATTATCTAAGATTTCTTATTCTACATTTTGATATATACTCTTATGATGAATGCTTTAGATTCATGTTAGTTACTAAAGACTGTTTCATCCTTAACTGATAGTTTTATTATTTTGAATTTCTGGATTTTTATTTGTTTATTACCAAAAGAACTAATAAATGTCTCCCAAACACTCTTGCATAAATTATTTTACTAAATCCTTACAGTAGATATTATGAGTGTATATTGGAACTTTATGATTCTTAGCACAAGCAAGAAAACCTGAGTTATAAAGGAGGTACAGGCAAGAGCACAGGTGATGTTGTAGGTATTGTCAAGGCAAACATTTCACTAGAAAAAGTTAAACAGAGGAGAAGACTTTATTTAAAGTTATTGCAATACAGGAGAGAAACTAAAACTCTGTCCAAATTCAACCCCTTTTAAAATCAAAGCTGCGAGAAATGTTAAAAGCCGGAAAGAATGGGGTTGGAGGGTCATAGATTATCTGTATTTGCTAATTTGCCTTACCCTAAGAACACCTAAACTTTGCCTTATCTTCATGACAAGAGGTAGTTATACAAATTGGAGGATGAGCTCCTGTGAAGTGAGGCTCCACGGAGCCTGGGAGATAGAGGTGGTATATTCCTTGAAGATATATTTTAAAAGGATGACTATAGGTTTTTTTGAGAAAAACTTTTGTTGTAAAACTATCAGAAGTCTTTTTAAAATATTACATATAAAAATGGCAGAAAAAGAATTTACAAGTTTTCTAAAGTAAATACACTAAGTAAGGGAAGGGATTGAAATCTGTAGTTAGGCTAATGGCTCTGCAAGGGACAGGGTGGGGGAGAGCAGAGGTCAGGGCCCCAGCTGCAGGAAGACTGTCTAAAATTAAGTCATGCTGCAGGAAATGTTGAGGCCATCTTGGTCGGTATATATTATCTAGACATTTTCTATACATCATCATAACAAACTTATGAGATAGATATTATTTTCTTTCCAATTCTTAGATAAATTTTGGTAAATACAAGATTCAAATGTATTTTTTAAATTTACATTATATTCCCCTAAGCAGAAATTTTTGATTAATATAAAACATAGCTCTCTGGCTTTTTATGTTTCTATTTTCTATTGCATATGCTATCTAGAGCTAAATTAAGAATCCAGGAAAAAAATGAGACATTAATAGACTCTAAAAAGCTGTAGAAGTTCTAAGAGAGATTTGAAAGGTTAAAGATCGAAGACCTTGTGTTTTCAAATTGCACATTATCTATGCCGAATCATTATACTAATGAGTTTCTACTGCAGAGTTCACATTTATTTTTTAAAAAGGCTTTTCACATTACAAATCTAGAGTTAAATTTTACTAATGCGTTTTTCCCCTTTGGAAATAGCTTTAACTCATTAAAGCCGTGAAGACGTTATTTCCTAAAGCTGTCTCTCTTTAAACTGATGATTTAAAAAAAAGTGACAGAAAATTTACTGTAATGTGAAAAGTTCATATCTAGACATACTTTACCAGTGTTACATTACCTTACATGGAAGGATGTGTTCCACCTGTAGCTCAGCTTATACCTTCTCCACATATATAATACTGAGATTACAGTGGACTCATCAGCACTTAAATGCACCTCTTATTCTAAACCATGGAGGCTGTCCTCTGGTGTACGCAGCGAAGTTCAATGCTTTCAATTACTATTAATGACATAAGCTTTCTTCTTATGCTTGGCTATTTGTTAATATGCAAATCTAAAACTTAGTGCTCTGTTTGAAAGAGAATTTGGACTCAGAAACCTTCATGTCTGTGACTACTACCTTTAGCATCCCACTGAGGGATTTTTGCAAGAATATGGAACTTCATGGAAATGGTTTAGAGAATCAGTTGTCTGGTACAATCTTCGTATATTAAGCCAACTGGGAAAATAAAGATAATATATCTACTTGTCTTACATTTTACAAATAGTACAACAAAAAATCTTAAACCACATTTGCTTTTATGACTCCATGTTGTATATGATTTCCAGGTTTATTACTTTCCAAATAATTTGAAATCCATATGCAGGTAAGAGAAAAGTATTCTAGTTTCAAACGTTCAGGTGCAACCAACATGAGTCTTCCTGGAATCAACAGTTCAATAAAAAGGCCGCTGCACTTATTTGATTTCATTATGTCAATACTCACTACAATTTTCATTAAAAATGAAAACTTATGGCATGTAATTAGAGAAACCAGTTTTTCCCTTGTATCTGGTATACCAAATTTCCAACTCTTGTTTTTCTCTAACAAGTTAGCAGTAATGATCCTCTTGTGGGAGTTGATGATGTCAACAAGAGAGGCATCTATTTAGAAATCTAAGATATTAGGCTATCAGGAAACCTCATCTTAAAATCAATTGTTCCATTTGTTATTTCCTCTACCAATTAAATTCCAAAATTACTCAGAAAGACACCCACTCATAATCCTATCTCTGATGGCTTATCTTGGCCCCACATGCTAACTCAGTTAATTTTCAAGAATATTATACTACTAATTCTTTCACTATTACCTCTCTGCCAAGCAATATACTAGGAATTAAGGTTAATAAAAGAAATATAAATTACAGACATGGCATTCCAAAATGAGTTACCTATCTATCTCAGGTCTTCTCTGCTTAGATTTCCTTTTGATCTGACCCTGAGCTTCCGTCATGTTCCATAGTCCCTATCTGTATTTGCATACTTCCTGCTCAGCCTTTAATAGGAAAATAATATTATTCATCTTGTGATGATAGAAACTCCTTTAACTTTAGCATCTACTCTTTGGGAGAAAATCTTTGCTCCTTCTGAGAAATTTAACTCTAGTTCTTCTTTTGGATGTGAATATGTTGGAATTTTCTCAGTAGTCATATCCAGAAACATTCTACCAATAATTATGCTGTAATGATTATTATGATTGTTTAAAAATATCCCTTCAAGCTGAGCACTGTGGAGGCAGGAGAATAACTTGAACTTGGGAGGGAGAAGTTGCTGTGAGCCGAGATGGTGCCACTGCACTCGAGCCTGGATGACAAAGTGAGATTCTGTCAAAAAAAAAAAAAAAAAAAAAAAAAAAAGAACCCCTACAGGTTATTTTAAGGGTTAAGTTCATTCTTTGTACTTTTCAATGCCACAGTGTACTTTCATGTTGTACAACAGAAAAGGAAAAAGTCCATATTAGGTGAAATAAGTAACATCACATACCAAACTTTTATAGTTCTACAAGTCTTGTTCAATATTTTTTAAGAGAAACAGAAACAATGGAATAAGTTCAGCAGAATAATAACAATATGTCCTCGTGGTTAAAATCCTACACTTATAACACCAAATCTTGGAAATGATGTAGAACAATAAGAAATCATTCATTAGTGGGAGGAAATCAAAATAGTACGCCCACCTAGGAAGAAAGTTTGGCTATGATCTAGCAATCACACTTCTAGTATTGACCAAAATGAATTGAAATCTTATGTCAACAATAAAAGTCTGAACACAAACATTTATAGTAGCTTTACTCATAATGGTAAAAAAATAGGAAGCAACCAAGAAATCATTGAAAAGGTGAATGGATAGACTGAGCATATTCGTGAACTGGAATATTCTTTATTGATAAAAAGAAATGAGCTTTAAAGCCATGAAAAGACATGGAGGAACTTAAAATGCATATAGCTTAGTGATAAAATATCTTATAATAAGCATATCTGAAAAGGCTACACACTGTATGATTCTAACTATATGACATTTTGGAAAAGGCAAAACTATAAAGACAGTAACAATTTCAGTGGTTGCCAGAGATAGAGAAGGTGGTAATAAGCTTGGAGATGAATAAACAGGTATAGTACAGAGTATTTTTAGGGTACTCAGACTAATCTATTTCATACAGTAATGAAAGATACATGACTTTCTGGATTTATCAAAACCCATAGAATTGCAACACACAGAATGTTCCTTAATATAAATCATAGACTTTAGTTAATAAAAATTTATCCATATATGTTTATCAGTTGTAACAAATGTACCTCACTAACTCAAGATATTAATAAGGGGAGTTGTGAACATGGGTGAGATCGATTATATGAGAAATGCCTGTACAATCTGCCCAACTTAATGAAAATCTATAAGTGTTCTAAGAATCTGTAATGGCTTGTTTTAAAAAATAAATATTTATAAACCTAGTAAAATATGTACAGGACTTGCATGGTGAAAACTAGAAAACATTTATCTAAATAAATGGACTTTGATTATGAATTGGAAGTCTCAATATAGTAGAGATGTCATTTCCTTCCAAATTGATATGCACATATAACACAATTTCTATTAAAATCTCAGCAAGATATTTTATAAATACAAATGTAGTTATTTTAAAATGTATGTGGAAAAAGAGAACCAGAATAGTAAAAACAATTTTGAAAAAGAAACACAAAGTTGGATAAATCTATGTACCCAATTTCAAGACTCCATATGTAGTAACAGTAATTAAGGCAATGCTCATGCTGTTTTGAGGAAGGGTAGACACAAGTATAAATGTAACACAACAGAGTATTAAAAAATAAAGCCATGCAACTATGTCCACTGATTTTTGACTAATGTGCAAAAAAATTTAAATGGAGAAACTAAAGCATTTTCAATTGGACATCTATAGGCCAGAAAAAAACTAACTTAACTCTCAACTTAAGTTTTTCTCCTTATTAAAAAAAATATCTCAAAGTGGATTATAGATTTATATGTAAACTGTATAATGAAGAAAAAAGAATAAGAAAGAAAAGAGAAAATCTTAATGATGCAGGACTAGGAATTTGAAGTGTTCTTAAACTGGAAACAAAAAGCACAATCAATAACATGGGAAAAATGATAAATTTGGCTACATTAAAACTGAAATACTTTGCTCTGCAAAGGACCCTGTCAGCAGATTCAATGACGAATACCAGCTGGAAGAATAGTGTTGCAAACTGTGTTTCCAACAAAAGACTTACATGCAGAATATGTAAAGAATGCTCCAAACTTAACAGGTAAAGAAACAGAAAGTAGGCAAAATAAATTATCAAACATAGCACCGAAAGGGATATACAGATGGCAATTAAACATAAGAAAAATATACTGAATATCACCAGTTATTAGCTATATTAAAGCCACAATAAGATATCGGTGTGCACAAATTCAGCATTACTGAAATAAAAATAGGGACATTAGCAAATGCTTGTGATGATGCCAAATAATCACATAAGTTACGCTTTCCTGGGTGGAATCTAAAATACTATAGGTGCTCTGAAAAACAATGTGGCAATTTCTTAAAAAATAAACACGTAACTGTTAAGACAGAGTTAGTGAACTTCTAGGCACTTATTGAAGGAAAATAAAAACTAATTTTCACACAAAATGCTTTAATTGAATGTTTATAGTGGCTTTCTTTGCAATAAATAGCCAAAAATAGGAAAAACTCCAAGATGTTAAGCAAATCGCAGTATATCAAGACCCGGGAATACTACTCAGGTACAAACAACAATTAACTAATTATACACACAAAAACCTGTATGAATCTCCAGAGAATTACGCTGAGTGAATAAAAAAGCTATTCCTCAAAATTGTATGGTTGCATTTGGCATGATTACACCTATTTTGAAAAGACAAAAATATAGAAATAGAGAATAAATTAGTGGTTGCCAGGCAAAAAGGAAAAGCTAGATGTAGGAGGGAAGTGGGTTTAAATATAAAAGTATAACATGTGGGCTCCTGTCTTGATGGAGATGTTCTGTAGCTTGACTTTCTCAATGGAAATACCCAGGTTGGGATATTGTACTATAATTTTGCAAAATTTTATCATTAAGAGAAATTTATAAATAGAAACACATGTCCTTTCTATATTATTTCTCACAACTGCATTTGAATTTATAATTTAATTATAATAAACAGCTAAAATAGAAAAAATAGAAATACCCAGACCTCGAACACTAAATCACTGATAAAATTAAAAACATTTATTAAAAAGTATATGTATGGAAAATGAGAATTGTCATACAACATCATGAGCGATATAAAAAAGTGATTTATGTATTATTTTAATATCTTTAAGTTGTGATTTCTTAAGACTATAAAAAAGTGAAAATTTTTTCAACCTTAAATTATTTTACTGTTAGAGAAGCATTCACATATATTTGGAACAAAAGTGAGACTCCAAAGTCCGGGGATTTGAATGAACTCTATGTGCAGTAGTTTAAGAATTTAAACTGTCTAGTTAAAAGGGCAGAGACATCAATGCCTCAAGACTATTAATATGATTTGGTATATTTTATTAATATCATCAACAATCTATCAGTATAAGGGCTAATATTTAATATGAAACATAGAGTCAACTGATATTATAAGCAAAATAATTCATGAAAAAATTTATAAATGTGTACATGAATATGTGTATTTGTGATACTAACACTATAAATTAAAAATTTATATTAAGAAATATACATTTTGATATTCCAAATATAGACATAATTTAAGATAATGTTACTTATTAGAAAGTATGTGAGACTTGTCATTTTAATTTTAAAAAACACACGATTAAGTAATATTTGTGATAAGCTGAAATCTGAACAATTTCTACAAAATTTGGAAATATAAAATAACTAACATTTTATAATAGAGTTAATTTATTCAAACTATAAATGTTATTTGACTACTCAGGAATGTTACACTCGTAAGTTAATTGATGATGAATGAGAAAATAAAAAATGAATTAATACAGCAAAACTGTAAATCCAGCCAGGTGCGGTGGCTCATGCCTGTAATCCCAGCATTTTGGGAGGCTGAGGTGGGTGGATCACCTGAGGTCAGGAGTTCAAGACCAGCCTGGCCAACATGGTGAAACTCCATCTCCACTAAAAAAAAAATTACAAAAATTAGCCTGGCCTAGTGGCTTGCACCTATAATCCCAGCTACTCAAGAGGCTGAGGCAGGAGAATCACTCCAGGAGGCAGAGATTGTGGTGAGCTGAGATCACACCACTGCACTCCAGCCTGGGCAACAGAGCAAGATTCTGTCTAAAAAAAAAAAAAAAAAACTGTAATTGATTTTAAAATATTTTTAAAAGTTTAATTCCCTGTTTGCAAATGAACTTTATGTTACTTAAAGTACCCTTAAATGTAATTATTAATACTTGCTTGATATATAAATGCAATGGCATAATTTTTATGCTAGATTTAGAAGTTTATTGAATAAATATTTTACTTATAATTTTAATGTGTTGAATATTAAACTTTAAAATATCAAGAGATTTCTGAATATTCCTTTCTGAATACACATACACACTCACACACACAAAACACATATATAACAGAGAAAAAAAAAACCTCTATCATATCACAGCAAATGGAATACCAGAGAAAGCTCCAAGAAGGAAATTACAGTTTAAAAACAAAATAACTCATGCTAACATACCAGGGGAAAAATAAAAGTAGGGTATAAAGCATACAAAGGATTAGTGATAATAAACTTTAGAAGAAAGAATAACTAGGGAAACAGACTAAAAATCCCTGGGTGCTTTGTGTTAAAAGATAAGATTTTGAGATGAGATAATTTAAAAAATAAGTCTGATGAGACAAAATGAACTTGGATAAGTTAAAGACACAAGGCAAAGATCAAGAAAATGGGATTAAACAACTAATACATAATACATAAATTACAAACAGAATAGACTTCTTGATAATTAAATTATTGAGACTGAAAACATATTAAGATAATTACAGTGACTACAGAATAAAAAAAGATAAAATAATTAAATTGATATTTTAATGCATAGGTGGAATAAAAATATAAAATATTTTCATATTTGAGAAATTTAAAGTAGAGAACTCCCCTAATGAAAAAGTAAAAATTTCCACGAATGAAATAGTTTTCTATTATTTCAAAGTGGATTTTTTTTCCTACCTTTTTTTTCTTTCTTCTCCAGCAAAATACCTAATAGTTCATTATCTGTGTTTTTTGAAACTGGTTTTCAGGAGCTAATCATCTATTAAATATTATTTTTAGTTAAATGTACTGAATAAATTTGGATTCAGTATTTTGAAGAGTGTTATATAATGCAGTTGTATTTATCCATTTTTTTCAAGCAAAATTTAAAATCTTACTTAAGATATTTCTCTCTACTGCAAAATGATATATCTGCCATTCCTTTCCTAATGTTTTAAAAGTTTAATTTTCATATTTGCTTTTTAAAATCTTCTGTGTGAACTGATTTCCCTGTGTGATGTGCAAAAAAAGGTGCAATCTAAAATTAATTGACTCGGCACTACATTATTTTATTATCCTATGAAGATAATTATACCATCAATGCAATATAACATTTTTGAGTCTTTCTTTCTCGCCCTTATATTTTTACTACACTTTACTGTCTTGCTGCATTGTCTAGAATAAACATTCAATAAAGAATAGAATGAGAGAGAGTTGGTTATCTTCTAGTGCACTTGATTTTTAAAAGAATGCTCCTGACTTTCTAAATATTAAACATGGTAATTACACTAGGTTTGAAGTAGGTATTCTTTATTCAGTTTATAAAAGTTCTCTGCTACTCCTGGTTTATTAAGAGTTTTTTTGATTAATCATCATTGTACTTTATTGAATTTACATTTGTGATTTTAATGAAAAGATTAAATAGTATTTCATTTTAATCTTTTAGTACAGTGTAATTTCATAGTAGATTTGCCAGTAGTAAACCAAACTTGTATGCACAGGATAAAATCAATTTATCAAAATGCACTAAATTTTTAATAATTTTATTCAATTTGGCAATACTATCTTAAGATATTTTTAACCTATTTTCACATGTCAATTTAAACTAAAATTTTCCTTTTTTTGTGTAACCCTTGTCTGCTATTCTATATTAACAAAAAGCAAACCCCAACTATACAACATAAAGCTGAGAATTAGACTCAAATATTGAGAAAAACCCTCTGGCAAACTTATCAAAAGCACATGGCATCATTAGATGAACTGGAAACCTGAAGTCTGAAGGCAACCACAACAACAATAACAGCAACTAAAATCCAAATTAAGCTCAAGTCCTGAATTATTGACTCAATTCTCCATACAATTGCCTGAGATGACAGGTGTCCATTTTCAGGTAAAAACACTATTTACCTGTTTATCTTGTTCTACATGAAATATACGTTACACAATAACATTTATGAGACGTATAAAAATCAAAGAAGATTCAATCAATTATCAAGGGACAAAGTAAACAACTTAATAAGTGGAGAATTTAAACAAAGTGATAGAACTATGAGAAAGGGATGTCAAAATAGCCATACTGTACAAAGTAATTTACAGATTCAAAGTTATTCCTATTAATCTATCAATGACATTCTTCACAGAATCAGAAAAAACAATTTTAAAATTGACATGGAACCAAAAAAAGCCTGAATAGCCAAGGCAATCCTAAGAAAAAAGAATAAAGCAGGAGACAACACATTACCAAACTTCAAACTATACTACAAGGCTACAGTAACCAAAACAGCATGATATATTGTTACATAAACAGACATAGAGACCAATGGAACGAAATAGAGAACCCAGAAATAATGCCACACACCTACAACCATCTGATCTTCAACAAAACTGACATAAACAAGCAATGGAGAAAAGACTCCTTATTAAGTAAATAGTACTTGAATAATTGCATAGCCATAGGCAGAATATGAAAACTAGATCCTTTCCTTATACCATATACAAAAATCAACTCAAGATGGATTATAGACTTAGATAAACTCAGAAGTAGAAAAATCCTGCAAGATAACCAAGGGACACCATCTGGACATAGCACCTGACAATGACTTTATGACAAAGATGCCAAAAGCAATTGCAACAAAAACAAAAGTTGACACATGAGATCTTTTTAACTAAAAAGCTTCTGCACAGCCAAGGAAACTATCAACATAGTAAAAAGACTACTTATAAAGTGGGAGGAAATATTTGCAAACTATGCATGTGACAAAGGTTTAATATCCAGAATCTATAAGGAACTTAAATTTATAAGCAAAAACCAAACAACCTCATTAAAAAGTGGGCAAAGGACATAAACACACACTTTTCAAAAGAACACATACACGTGGCCAGTAAGCATGTGATAAAATGCTCAACACCACTAACCATTAGAGAAATGCAAATCAAAACCTCAATGAGATACCATCTCACATCAGTCAATATGGCTATTATTAAAAAGCCAAAAAATAACAGTTGCTGGTGAGGTTGTGGAGAAAAGGGAATGGTTACATAGAGCTGGTGAAAATGTAAATTACTTCAGCCACAGTAGAAAGCAGTTGGACAATTTCCCAAAGAACTTAAAGCAGAATTACCTTTTGACTCATCAATCTTATTGTTGGGTATATACCCAAAGGAATATAAATTGTTCTACCATAAAGACACACATACATGTGCGTTTGTCACAGCACTATTCACAATAGCAAAGACATGAAATTAACCCAAGTGCCCAATCAATTGTAGACTGGATAAAGTAAATATGGTACATATATACCATGGAACACTATACAGCCATAAAAAGAATGATATCATGTCCTTTGCAGCAACATAGGTGGAGCTGGATATCATTATCCTAAGTAAACTGATATAGGTACAGAAAACCAAATACTGCATATTCACACTTATAAGTAGGAGTTAAACATTGAATATGTTTGGGCACAAAAAAAGGGACAACAGACACCAAGGCCTACTTGAAGGTTGAAGGTGGGAGGATGGTTAGAATCAAAAAACTATTGAGTACTATGTTTATTACCTAGGTGATGAAGTAATCTGTACACCAAGCCCCTGCAACATGCATTTTACCTATATAACAAACCTGCACATATATCCCTGAACCTAAAATAAAAGTTAAAAAAAGAAAGAGATGAATGAAAAAGCTCAAAAAATTACATCAAAAATGTATCCCTTAGATAGACTAATTATGTAACATAGCTGAAAAAAGGATTGAGGAATATGAATTTAGATCAGTGAAAGTCACCCAAAATGAGACAAATAAAAGAAAACACGAAAAAAATACATAAATAAATAACAAAATTTCCAAGAGCTAGAGGATAATATCAAATTCTCTAGCAAATCTATTATCAGTATCCTAGAAGAAAAAAGATGATATAGTTGAAGAGATAACAGATATTTTTTCGTAAAATAATTAATTCTATTGAAAGGTACACCTAGGAAGCACTGAGAGAAAATTCCAAGCAAGATAAGTAGTACACACACATACTCACAGACATAAACAAACACATAACACACCCAAAAGTTGATTATATCATATAAACACTTATAGAAATAAAAAATAAAAACAAACTCATGAAGGTACCCATGAAAAATGGAACATCACATAAAGAAGATGAAAACAGAAATGATTGACTTTCTGTCAGAAATAATGTTAGCCAGAAGAAAATGAAGGGATATATTTAATGTATTTGAAAAGAAAAAAAACTGTTCTTCCCAAATTCTATCTCCAATAAGATAATTTTTATAATTAGGAGAAAAATAGAGAACTTTTCCAACAAATCAAAACAGAAATTCAGTGCCATCACATCTGTGCTAAAATGGTATTAAAAGAAGTTCTTCCAGTAGAAAAAAAAATTGGGATCTACATGAAGAAATGAAAAGTCTTGGAAATGACATATAAAAAAAGAGAAATTAAAAAACAATTCAACTTTTAGTTTCATGGAGTACATGTGCAGGTGTGTTACATGAGTAATCTGTATGTCAGTAGTGTTTGGTGTATGAATAATTCCAATACCCAGGTAGTGAGCATAGTATCTGGTTTGTTACATGGGTAAATTGCATGTCAGTAGTGTTTGGTGCATGAATAATCTCATTACCCAGGTAGTGAGCATAGTACCCGATAAGTAGTTTTTCAACCCTGGCATCTCTCCTACCCACCCTCAAACAGTAGTCCCCAGTGTCTATTGTTCACATCTTTACATCCATGGGGACTCAGTGTTTAGCTCTCACTTACATGTGAGAACATATGGTATTTGATTTTCTGTTCCTGTGCTAATTCACTTAGGATTATATCCTCCAGTTGCAATTATGTTGCTACAAAGGATATGATTTCATTTCTTTTTATGGCTGCATATTATTCTATGCTGTATATGTGCCATATTTGCTTTATCCATTCCACTGTTGATGGGCATCTAGGTAGATTCCATGTCTTTGTTATTGTGAAGAGTACTGTGATGAACATACAAGTTCATGTGACTTTTGATAGAATGAGTTATTTTCCTGTGGGTATGTATCAAGTAATGGGACTGCTGGGTTGAATGATAGTTCTGTTTTAAGTTCTTTGAGAGATGTCCTAGCTGCTCTCCACGGTGGCTGAACTAATTTACATTCCCAGTACCAGTGTGTAAGCATTCTCTTTTGTCTGCATATTTGCCGACATCTGTTATTTTGTGACTTTTTAGAAATGGTCTTTCTGAGTGGTATAAGCTGGTATTTCATTGTGGTTTTGATTTGCATTTCTCTGATGTTTAGTGATATTGAGCATTTTTCTTGTATTCGTTGGCTGCACATATGTCTTCTTTTGAAAAATGTCTGTTCATGTCTTTTCCAAATGTTAATGGGGTTATTTGTTTTTTGCTTGTTCAATTGTTTAAGTTCCTTATAGATTCTGGATAGTAAGCCTTTGTTGGACACATAGTTTGTGAATATTTTCTCCCATTCTGTACAGTATTTTTTTTCTGTTGATAATTTCTTTTGATGTGTAGAAGCCTTTAATTTAATCAATTCCCCTTTGTCAAGTTTTTTGTTGTTGTTGTTGCAATTGCTTTTGGGCACTTAGTAATAAATTCTTTGCCAAGTCCAATGTCCAGAATAGTTATTTCCCACATTTTACTCTAAAACTTTCAGAGTTTTGTATATTCAATGTAAATCTTAAATTCATCTTGAGGTAATTTTTGTGTATGATGAAAGTTAGCGGTCAAGTTTTATTTTCTGCCTGTGATGAGCCAGTTATCCCAGCATCATTTACTGCATAGGGAGTCCTTTCCATTGCTTACTATTGTCAACTTTGTCAAAGATCAAACGGTCGTAGATGTGCAGCTTTATTTCTGGGTTTTCTATCCTGTCCCGTTAGTCTATGTGTCTGTTTTTACACCAGTACCATATAAATTTGGTTATTGTAGCCATGTAGTATAAAGTCAGGTAGCGTGATGACTCCAGTTTTGCTCATTTTGCTTAGCATTGCTTAAGATTGTTATTTTGAAAAAATAATGAAAGTTCTTTTATCTAATGTTCGATATTTCATCATTAATCGGTAGATGATCTAAAACAATAGATATAAATAGCATTTTAAATAGGGAGAAAAATTGGGGAAGCTGATAAGACAAATCTACACCTGTCTGAAAACTACATCAATTGGTGATAAAAATATAAAGAAAACTAAGTAAATAAAAAATATATTTTAAAAGCAGAACAGATACACTTAGAGACGTTGAGGTAATCAACAGAAAAACTTTAAAAAAAATGTTTAAAGCAGTTTTCTGGGTCAAAGGCCTCTGAGTCCTCGCAAATTTGCTTCTTCTTTTAAGCATTTTGTTCTATTTAAATTTTTAAAACCATATTCAAGTAATACTTAGGTTTAAGATAAGTAACTTAGATAAGTTACTTTATTTAAAAAATGTGTATATTAGGTATTCTAGCTCAAATAATTAACAATTATAAACAGAAAAGTAATTATCAAACCACTAATGATGATTAAAAGAATAATAAAAATACTTGCTAAACTAAAAAGAAAGCAGAAAAAAAGAAAATATGCGATAACTAAATATTACAAATTTTAAAACTTATGTTGGTATATTTAAATCTAATCATAAAAATAACGATTTTATTTTTACTTATTCATTAGTGTAAGTTTTTTAAATCAAAAGATAGATACTAGGTAAAAAAGGAAGAGACACACATATGCTCTTTATAAGAAATCCACCTTAAATATAAATGTATAGATAGGCTATAGGTAAAATAAAAATGTTAGTTGAGTATTGACATCTCATTAAATTTCTATATGTCTCTAAAAGTCCTCATTTTCACTTCATTTCTGTATGACTTTTTTGATGTTTGCAGATTCTAGGTTGATGTTTTTGCTTATTTCTTTTTGTTTGCTTTGTTTATTTTTTCTCTCACTCCACTGTTTTCTCACTTTTCTTGTTTTTGGTGAGAAATATGCAGCTATTCTTATTTATATTCTTTTGATGTAACATGAAATTTTATTCTAATGCTGCTTTTAAATTTTTAAATTTATCACTGATTTTGAGGGATTTGTGATGTGACTTGTGATAGGTCATATTCCTTGAATTTTGATTTTGTAGAGCTTGTTAGATATGTGGCTTAACAGTTTTAATCAAGTTAAAATTTTTTTAGCATTCATTTTTTAAATGTTGTTAATGTTTTTACTTTTTTTCTTTTCTTCAGAATCTCCACTATGGATATATTAGGTAGTAATTTGACATCTGCTAGAGTTCACTAATGTCATCTTCATTTTGAATTGTTATATATAATTTTGGATGATTTATATTATTATATTTTCACGTTTTTTTTTCTTGCATAACAGCTAGTCTTTGGTAAATCAACTTGAGAACAGTTCAATCAATGCAATTTTAGTCTCAAGATGTTTAATATGTGTCATTTTAATAACTTTTAAATATTTAACTTTTTGAACATTGGGATGCAGTTATAATATGTATTTTTTGTCTCCTAATTTTTATATCTGTGTCAGTTCTGGGTCAGTTTTGGCTGACTGATCATTCATTTCATTAAAGATTATATTTTCCTGGTTCTTATCATATATGGTAATTTTTGCCTGTATGCTAGAACTCATAGATTTTACCTTGCTGGGCACTAGATATTTATAAATATTTTTGAACTGTGTTCTGGATGCAATTCTCTATTGTATCTCTCTGATCCTTTAAGTTCATGCACTACAAATTTGTTAGGTGGAAGCGGGGCAGCATTTAATCTAGATCTAAATTTACCTCACTTCTAAGGCAAGACCCTTTAGAGTAATCTATGCAATTCTCAATGACTTAGAAAATTTCCTACTTGGCTGGTGGGAAATAGTTACAATTTCCAGCTCTGTATAAGTGCTAAATATTGTTCCTTCTTTTGCCAGCCTCAGATGTTTTCTTCACTACCTGTACTAGCCAGGTATTTGTTGAATAGTCTAGGGGATCTCTCTGCATATCTCTGCAATTTTCTTAATTTCAGCTTTATCCTTTCTAGTATTCAGTCCTGCCTTCATTTCCTTGAAGTTTTGACTTTGTTTGCGCACATCAGGGAAATTTTTGGACTCCATCTTGCTTACCCTGTCTTCGGGCAGTAAGTGAATGGTGGCGGCAGTTGAAGGCTGACCTCATGTGTTTCCAATGTCTTAGAGATCACTGTTCTTTATTTCCTAATATACTGGGTTGGAAATCTTTTGTTTCACATTCTTATCCTGTTTGTTGTTGTTGCATGTGGGAGAATAAGTCCGATCCCTCTTGCTTGAAAAAGGCAAAAAAAACAACTAGACATATGGATATATTAAGAAAACGTTTTCAACAGTAGAACTCACTTTTTGAGAAATAGTGAGGAGGACACTATAGCTGAGGTAGAGTGAAAACAAAGCTTGTAAAGTCACAGGAGAGAGGCTGAGAGATGTAAGTGGTGGGTAGATCATATTAAATATTGCAGACCATTGTAAAGATGCTGGTTTTAAACTGAATTATTTGGGGAATCACTGTAGAGTTGTGAAATGATTAATGAGATGATCTGAAATAAGATTTAAATGAGTAACAGACCACAGTATGACAAGGGTAAAAATATGAAAGCTTAGGGGGTTTTGAAAGTAATACAGGAGAGAGATAATGGTAGCTTTTTCCAGGGTAATAGGCTAATGGCAGTACAACTGATGAGAAATGGGTGGATTCTGAATATATGTTAAAATATATGTAATATGGATCATGAAGGACTAGATGTGAGATGTTAAGAAATAGATTGAAACAAGTATGAATTCAAGGATTTTGAGCTAAAACACTGGGAGGATGAAATTGCTCTCAAGTGAGATTGAAAATGTTCAGAGAGGAGCAGGGTCTTGGGCAGAAGACCTGGCGTTTAATGTTATTAATGATGACTTGAGATGTACAGTATACATCAGTATGAAAATGCTCATTAGGAAGATGAATATATGCATGTGAATTTATGGAAAGAAGTCTCAGCTAAAAACAGAAATTTGAGAATCATCAGTATATGAAGGGTATTTAAAGCCATTATCTTGAAAATGATCTTCGAAAAAGTAAATTTACAAGAAAAATATTCAGTCATAGGTAGCTAAAAATTAGCAGGTAATAAGAAGATAAGAAATTTGCAAAGGAGACTGAGAAGGATCAACTATCAATTGGCATGTCTTGTAGGAGAAAAACCAGGAGACAGTGGTTTACTGGCAGGTCAGTGAAGAAAGGGTTTACAAGAAAAAAGAGTGATCAATTGTGCCTTATAGTGCTGGTAGATGAAGTCAAACAATCAGTGAAGAGTGAACATTTTATTTTGTATTATGGGGACTATTGATGATCTTGACATGAGTTCTTTTAGTAAAGTGGTAGGTACAAAATCTAATTGGGAATGTTTAATACAAAATTAGAATAATTGCCACTTTCAGCAGTGACAGCTCGACTGGATTTGAACTAATCGATTCACTAAAAATATATATGATTTAAAAAATGTCTTAACAATAGCTGAGAATAAACATGGCAGCCTGACTTGAGCGATTAACTTCCTGGAGCAAAGAATACACATTGCAGAAGCCTATTTTCTGAGCAAAATTTCCCCTCAAAGCATTGACTGACTCCTAAAGTACACATGTACAAGGAAAATCTCCTAGAAACCAGGAAAAAAGCAGGTTTGAGGTGTCTAAAAGCTAAGTGGTCATTTCAGGTATCTCACAGAGAAGAGGAAAATGTGATTTTAGAAATATCGACATTTATGCCAGTGAACAAAAGATGAAGATTATGTTTTAAATAGTTTAAAATATAGTTAATGTGACAAAAATATTTAACATACCTGTAATTGGAGTCATAAAATGAGAGAAGAGAGAATAAGGTACAATTTTAAAGAGATAACTAAACTTTTTTCCCGAAGCTGATTAAAAGTATCCAAAGATTCAAAATGCTCAGCAAGCCCAAGCGATAGACATAAATAAAACCATACATAGATACAATCAAACTGCTGACAAAACAGAATCAAAGGGGGAAAAAGTTTTAAAGGCACCAGAAGCACACATATCACAGCAGACACAGTATTTTCAAAGGAAAACAAATTAGATGGACCTGACTCAAATCTGGAGATGAGAAAACAGTGGGTTGATGTATTTAACATGATGAAAGGATATGGTTCTATAATTGTTAATATAGATATCTATATATCTATATCTGTGTCATCTATGTAAATAAATGAAAGTCACATTAAGAAATATGTTTACAAAAGGAAAAAAAACACAAAAATATTTGTTATTAAAAGGCCTGCAGTTAAGGAAATACTACAGGGAGTTTCTTAGGCCAAAGTAAAATTATAGTAAATAGAGCACGTGGATGCAGGAAATATGGAGTAATGGAAAGTCTAACAAGTAGCAAGTGAAAATTAATGCTAATTTCATAAAATAATTATAACAAGATTTTATGAGTTTATATATTTGAATTGGAGATGGAAACACAATAAAACAAAATACTTCAGAATTTCAACAGCTATACTCTGTCAAAAGATCCTCACATTTTTTATGTACTACTAAAATTATTTACTATATACGCTAAGTGAAAAATACTAATTATGATCTCTAGAATGATCTCTAGAAAATATAGAAAATAACAATTGCACAACTTAAAAAGCTCAAGGGGAAATGGATACTCACACAACTCCTTGATTAATTCATAAGTATGCAAGAAAAGAAAGGAAAAGGGGTCCAAAATACACATGAAATAAATAGAAAAATACTAAAATTAAAACATTATTAAGCTATTAGTTCTTATATTTAGAATTTATTTTTAAATGTAATTAGATTCTTTTACAATAGTATGCAGTCATTTCCAGAGTAAGCATAAAGTATAGTAAGATAAAATATAATAAGGGTAACTATTCATTTAAATTTAGAAGCTAAATATGTTTACAAAAATTGGGCAAAGTATTAAACTTTGTATGATAGAAAAGAAAAAGAAAAAATAAAAATAAAAACAAAAATAAACCTTGTATAGGCACAAATATTTCATGATGCAAAATTATCAAAAACATCACCTGTTATTAGACTAAAGCAATCTCTAGTACTTTTGTTAACTGTGATGTAGCACACTTTAGTTACTACATCTAGTTTAATGTACAGCCACTTTTTGTTCTATTCTCCCTTCCATAACCAAAAATGAATGTACAATAAGTCCACTTGCAGGGCCACCTCTCTCATATAGTATCTTTTATACGTGCCTTCCAATAATGCAAACTATAATGAAGGTATATAAAGTCTACGATTGGCAAGGTTAAGACAAAAAACAGGAGTGATGTAAGCAAGAGGCAATTATAAGGTGTTTTATGGAAAAAATACATTTTAACTGTATTCCTAATTAGGTACTATCCCAGAGGAAGAATAAGATAATATACATTTAGATCATTTTTCTTAGAGAAATATAAATCAATAAATAATGTTGGTATATCTATAACTTAAATATTTAAAGTTTTCTGAGTAATTGCAAAGAGAGCTGGTTTTGTGCACCATATGTCCTCAAAAGTATTTTGTGACAATTTGCACTTCCAAAGGAACTTTTAAAATATATAATTGTATATTCAGGAAAGAACTATTGTTTTATTCTACTTACAAAATAATCCATTCTGAAACCGAGAGGTTAATCTAACCCAATTCTCATTGATTTGGAATATAAAAGTTACTATTTTGTCACAGTTAATAAATATTTAATACGTATGACCTGTTCCTTTTCCTAACTTGAGGTATTTAGATTTTATAATTAAGGAGGATGCAATGAAAGTAAAAATCAGACTCTATATACTTTCTTGGAAATCTTTATTTCCTGTTTTCATGCCCTTCTTCCTCCCAACCCTCAGAATTATAGATAAATACATAACAGGTGAAGTAAGAAATGTCTGTGTTGATATCTGATGGGTTTGTCCATAAATTTAAAAATTACAGATATAATTTGTTAAGTGACAGACATGTAGATATTGATCATTTTTGCAGAAAATGTAAAGAGCTGTTTTTATACTACAATATTTTGATAAATGGCTAAGTCACTTCCAGTCTAAATGTTCATTTGTACTTGCCACTTAGACATATTAATTTTGTGTCAGGGAGGTGTATGGTCACATAAAATAAATCATATGTAAGACCGTCATATTCTTTCTTGTGGAAATTCATAATCATTAGGAAGGGATAATTAAGGAATGAATATTTCCCAGACTGTATTCTATATTTGGGAATTTCTATTTTTATTTTTAAAATGTATAAATAAACAGTTTAGCTAAATTTAATTGGTCATCTAATTGAAAGCAAAACTAATAATAAATATAAATACACATATTTATACTTTATAAAATTTCATTTTATTACTGTCAATGAGACATTCATATTAATTTGTGAAATATCTTTCATAAATTGTTATCTAGAAATATAGATGCATGATGTTACTAACAACAGATCAAAATCCTTTAAGTAACTCTTCTGGTGAATGCATATCAAGAAAAATCAAGTTTTGAAAACCAATAAAATGATTTATATGCCCATGCAGCCATTTGTTATGTACTGGAAAATTAATGAACTGAAATACATAGTCATATAGCATGTTATATTTTAAAGAATACTAAGTGTAAAAGAAATTGTAATAGATTAAATGAATGACAGATTTTTTTATTCAAAAGGAGATTCTCTGACAATAAAGAAGTGATATTCCCAAAGACAGGTGATTTGCTATAAAATTATTTTCTTCAAGGTAACAGAGTTTATTCATGGCTATACATCCTTATGAGAGATATTTATATAAAGGCAAATCTTAGGTTTTTGATTTTTTATGTTAAATAGTATTATCTGATAGACTAGATATTTTGCATAGTCATAGATAGTTATCTAACAATAAACAAGCATTATGGCTAAAAAATATGTATTCATCTATATAAATGTCTATGCATCTATCAATCAATCAGTCAATCATCTACATATCTTGTCTATTTTCTATACATCTGTTTGTCAACCTATATTATTTGGTAAAAAATGAGACAAAGCTAAGGCAAAATATGATGACAATAGCTTTCCCAACATATTCTTGTTAATTGTATCATATGTTTATTTTATTAATTAAACATAACAATACATTCTTTTCAAATTGATTTTTATTTATTTATTTATTATTTCCATAGTTTTTTGGGGGAACAGGTGTGTTTGGTTCCGTGAGTAACTTCTGAAGTGATTTGTGAGATTTTGGTGCACCCATCACTCGAGCAGTAAATACGGTACCCAATTTGTAGTCTTTTATCTGTCACCCCCCTTCCACCTTTTCCCCAAGTTTCTAAAGTCCATTATATCATTCTTATGCTTTTGCATCCTAATAGCTTAGGTCCCACTTATGAGTGAGAACAGACGATGTTTGGTTTTCCATTCCTGAGTTACTTCATTTAGAATAACGGTCTCCAATTCCATCCAGGTTGCTGCGAATGCCATTATTTTGTTTCTTTTTATGGCTGAATAGTATTTCATGGTGTGTGTGTGTGTCTGTGTGTGTGTATATATATATAAAACATAGCATTCCATGAAATACATATATATCACATATATATTATATTATATATGTATGTGTGTGTGTGTGTATATCACAATTTTTTATCCACTCATTGATTGATAGGCATTTGGGCTGGTTCCATATTTTTGCAATTGCTTTGTAAGTACTTGCATGTTCATGTATCTTTTTCGTATAATGACTTCTTTTCTTCTGGGTAGATGTCCAGTTGTGGGATTGCTGAATCAAATGGTAGTTCTACTTTTATTTATTTAAGGAGTATCCACAATCTTTTCCATACTCATTGTACTCTTACATTCCCACCAGTGGTGTAAAAGTGTTCCCTTTTTACTGCATTCCCAGCAACATCTATTATTTTTTGACTTTTTGATTATGGCCATTCTTGTCAGAGTAAAGTGCTATCACATTGTGGTTTTGATTTGCATTTCCCTCATCATTAGTGATGTTGAGCATTTTTTATGTTTGTTGGTCATTTGTATATCTTCTTTTGAGAATTGTCTTTACATGTCCTTAACCCGTTTTCTGATGGGATTGTATGTTTTTTTTTTCTTGCTTGAATTCTTTGTAGATTCTGGATATTAGTCCTTTGTTAGATGTATAGATTGTGAAGATTTTCTCCCATTCTGTTGGTTGTCTGTTTACTCTGCTGATTGATTGTTTCTTATGCTGTGAGGAAACCTTTTAGTTTAATTAAATCCCACCTGTCTATCATTTTTTTTGTTGCATTTGCTTTTGGGTTCTTGGTCATGAAGTCTTTGCCTAAGCCAATGTCTAGAATGTTTTTTCTGATGTTGTCTTCTAGAATTTTATGATTCCAGGTCTTAGATTGAAGTCCTTCATCCATCTTAAGTTGATTTTTGTATAAGGTGAGAGATGAGGATCCAGTTTTATTCTTCTGCATGTGGCTTGACCATTATCCCAGTGCTATTTGTTGAATAGGGTGTCCTTTCCATACTTTATGTTTTTGTTTGCTTTGTCAAAGATCAGTTGGCTTAAAGTATTTAGCTTTACTTCTGGGTTTTCTATTCTGTTCCATTGGTCGATGTACTTGTTTTTATATCAGTCCCTGCTGTTTTGGTGACTATGGCCTCGTAGTATAGTTTGAAGTCAGGTAATGTGATGCCTCCAGATTTGCTATTTTTGCTTAGTCTTGCTTTGGCTATGTAGGCTCTATTTTTGGCACTCATTAGATGTCTAACTTTTGTTCTCATATACTACTAAACATTTATTTCTTTACAGAAAATATTTACTTTCTATAAAAGGAGAGAAATCATGGAGACACAGAAACACAATATAGTCACAAATAAAATGTTATAGGCAATATTTACAGATAACACATACTAGAGACATTATGAAAAGAATAATTTTATTCAAGAATCTGTTCACAGACTTGTGATTCAATAGAGATTGAAGAAAAGGATCAATGTGATACTGAGAAAAATGTCAACAGGAAGCAATTGCTGGTTTTGGATAACTGGAGAAAAGTGTAGATATATTTAACATCAAATAATGACTGAAGAAATATAACCAGGGTTGCTTGACTAAAGTGGAGGACTCATGTAATTTGAATTCAAAAATTAATCTGTAAAATGCAAATGCAAGGTAATATAAAGTGTAAATGTAAATGAAGCCCCAATTAGTTAGAGCTATGAGGAACATGGTGAAAACTGGGCCTTATGCCAAGGCAAAGAATGTTTTCATCAGCCACAGTATATTTATAAACATATTACAGTAAAAATATATTGGATTTGTGGAAGAGGAGAGAGATGAAAAAAATTGCGAGACAGGAAAAGCACTTATGTGGGTGAGAAAATAAGCTAGATGTCAGTCTGATGTTCTGAGGCAGTCACAATAGAAATGCAAAAGAAAGCGTAGATCAAACAAACCAATGATCTGAATAGAAAAACCTGTGTATTTAAAGACTGTGAAATCCTAAAATATTATTACAGATGATTGGCATCATTAATAGAAATAAGATACCCCAAAATGGGAAATGTTCTGGAGGTTAAAATTTTGTTTATAGACATGGAAAATGTCAAATAATGTAAGTAGGGATAGTAGGGAAGTGTAGGGATAAAACTCAGAAGAAAACTAACAGTGTTAATAGAGATATAGAAACTTTTGGAAATAATATTTATTTGTAGTTAACGGATGTAAGACATTTTTCAGAAATCAGTTACACTTTTCAAAATTGTATGCTGGTCTCTAATTCTACATAGGAATGGTGTTTCTAAATATATTTATCTCTGAAGAATCAAGAACTTTTAATACCCTTAAATAATATGTGAATAATAAGTAGATGCGCCACTACAGTTTTTTATACAAAAATTCTACATAAAATTTAAAAATATATGATGTAACTATTCCATGAAAGATAGTTTTGGTATTAGAAAAATTATCCAGAAGAATCTCCTGCTTATTCTCCTGTGTAATTCTTTTTGGATATAGCCTCATTCTACCTTAGAAAAAAAGCACAAACATTGACAACAAAACAAAAGTTATCAGCAAAAGAGAATGGTGCCAGTAGTAAGTAAATTATTTAAAGCAACAATGGTAAGCTATTTTTTTAAACATCATGGTTGAGTATGTCCTTTCTTTCCTAATGTCTCTTCACAGCTGAACATGTTTACATGTTTAATCATGTAATATATTTTAATTATCTTCTTTTTTATGTGTCCACTTAAATTAGAAAGTTATTCTTGAACCATAATTAACCTGAGTAATTAATGAGGTCAAAACAAAAATAACATCCATATTTATTTAGAGTGCTCACAAGCAGGCAGCCAGAATGTTTTAAATCTAAAAGAGGAGAATAGGAAATGGGCTTTTATAAGAACTGCATAATGCTCCACAAAATAGTTCCATGAGAAATTATTCTGAATTGATGTAGAATAAGTTTAACACTGATTCAGGACCTTTGAATACTACTTAGGCACATATGCCAGTTTTGTTTCCCACCAACTCTTGTGTAGACCAAGAGGTCTTTGATAAATGTATTATGATTTTTATGAGCCTTTGCTTCCAAGATACATTATAATTTATGTTTTAACATGACAGGCTGAAAGTTGAATAAAGTAATATTAAAATTTGTCTTTTACTTATTCTTTTTTTAAAGTTGTTAAGTTTTTTAAGTTCTATCAACTTTTTAAAAGAAGGTACTAGCACTAAATGGCACATCAGTATGAAACAAATATGTAGGGCATAATAATTGATCAATTGATGTTAGTCCTTTTCATCTCTGTGTACTCTTTGGAAACTACTTTTATTACTTATATTTTTCAAATCAAATAACGGACTCTGGTTGGGGTACAATCATTTTCTAAGTTTTAATTTTCTTTAATCCTATAAATAAATTACCTATAAATAAATTTTTGTGAGAAAGATTATCTCACAAACAAACATTAGGGAAATATTATGGAGTTTACAGAAAAGGAAAAATGGGTATATTCCTCAAACTATTCTCATGTTACTCAAATTAATTCTGACGAAGAATCATTCTACCCACGACTTCTTTTGTGAGCTGTGTAAGCGATTAAAGTTTAGCAACTTCATTACCAAAGGACCTGTTTTTTTGAACTATTACTTCTAGGAAAGGAAAACATATGCTTAACTCAAGCCCCGTACCAATTTTATTGTGGCAAACTTCCAAAATAATTACTTTCAATGGTGATTATAACATGTAAGCATGATGGCATGAGAAATTGAAAATGAACTTCACATCTACAATAATGTCTTGGGAAAGTAAAAGCTAGAGTGTTACATCAAAAGTGCTGTCACTATTATCATTTTTAGAAGCTATCCTAACTGGAAATATTTATTTGTATATTGAAAGTTCAACACATATCAATTGATTTAAAATAGTGTTAAAAGCCTGTGCCTTTACATAAGCAGTTATTAAGATAGAAGTGACAGTATACAGATGGTGTATTCAGGAGCTGAACTATATCCAGTATATACCCAAAGATCTGTTTGATAAATAAATCATTTTGTGTATATCCCATAAAATGAGTGATAAGAGTGAATAACATGACCAGTCTTTGACCGAGCTTCCAAGCTTCATTTATACAAATTGGATTATTAACATTGAACCCCCATAGGGGGTTTCACAATTAAAACAATCATTGCAAGTAATTCCAAACTGAGGAAGAATTAAATGACCTCTTTTTTGCTAATAACATTTTAAAAAATGTGTACTAGCACAGCTACTCTTAATGAGATCTCTATCAATTCTAAAGGAATAGAAAGTAAAGAAGCTAATTATAAAAGCAAGAAAATGACCTTTGCCCCAACACCTCCACCTCATGCTTTACCATTATCAGTAATTACTGCTTCTGAAAAATAATAAAATTAAGTTTTTTATAACACATCTACTTATGGTACATAAGACTACTAACCATTAAACATGTTACAATGCTATAACAAATCTGACATTTTTGTTATTCTTGGAAACAGTGGTCACTGTTACAGGAAAAATTCTGATTTTTATACTAAAATTTAGTCAAAGAACCTACTGAAATTGTGACTATAACAAAAACACACATACATTAACGAAGTGTACAGTTAAAGGTGACTATATTAAGACAAATCCCTATAATATTGCATAATGTATCCATCCTAGAATAAATTCAAATTAAATACATTTCAAAAATAAACATAAGCTAGATTCAGACATCAAAATAAAGTAAATTAATCCATTTTTAAGGAACATTTATTTTGTAGATTATCTAAAAATACTTCAAACATCAAATCAATGATAAATTTGTATTGAATACGTATTTTATGTTATGTTGGATACTAGGCAATTCATGAGAGAAAAATTAATTAAAAAACACCTGATATTTATAAAGTCTTGAGAGTACCAAGGAGACAGGCCAAAAAAAATGCCTTTAAAAAACGTGGTAAATGCTTTGGTATGGGAAGAGGAAAGTGTTATGGGAATGTATATGAAAGACATAATCAGGTTGGGCACAGTGGCTCACGCCTATAATCCCAGCACTTTGGGAGGCCAAGATGGGCAGATCACGAGGTCAAGAGATTGAGACCATCTTGGCCAACATGGTGAAACCCTGTATCTACTAAAAATACAAAAATTAGCCAGGCATGGTGGCAGCTACCTGTAATCCCAGCTACTCAGGAGGCTGAGGCAGGAGAATCGCTTGAACCTGGGAGGCAGAGGTTGCAGTGAGCAGGGATGGTGCCACTGCACTCCAGCCTGGACGACAGTGCAAGACCCCATCTCAAAAAAAAAAAAAAAAAAAAAAGACACAATAAAGTGAGGAAATACAAGTTAGTAGTAGTAATATTTTAGCTGATAATTGAACAATACATACAATGAGGAAGGAAATCCAATATTTACAAATGCATGGAATGACAGATTACATGGAATATCTGGATATCTAAGAGTTTTGTATGGTAGTTGGAGAAGATGAAGATTAAAGAATAAGAAATGAGTTACAGAAAGCCTTGAACAAGAAAGTCATTGCAAACCAATTGCTGAATTTCCTCAAGGAAAGTCTTGCAGAAATGTTACATAATTAAATCCACTCAATTGTTTTTGCAAAGCATAGTATAAATGAAAAAAAAAGATGAAGTCAGTAAGACAGTCGTTTATAAGATTTATTTTGACATGATAGTGTTGAAGACTATAACAATGACAGAGGATAGTGAAGTAAATAGATTAACTGAAAAAATGTTGTTATATAGATTGGTGACTACTGAGAAATGAGTGGTATAGGAGAAAGAAAACTGAAGTATAACTCTCAACTCTCAGATTGGGACAACTGATGTTTCAATATGAAGCAAGAAAATAAAGGAGGAAGAAGTATTTTATTAGTTATGAATTAATGCAAATTCATTGTAATATTACTTTAATTATCATTTTGGCTATATCTAAAAAGAAGAATATATAGGTAAATAATTAGTACATGTTGCGTGACTCCATTTTTGTCTCTTAAAATAAATTTTAAGCCTTTCTATGACACTAAATCTTATTGTAGCTTGATTCCAGAATTTCTAGATTCCAGGATTCATCCATGCACAGTGATCATAGCTGAATGAACAATTATATAATATCCAATTGACTAGTGATCCCATAAATATGTCTATATAGATGAAATGGAAGATTATTGGTGTTTATGTGACTATTTGCTTTGTAATGCTGCTTTAGAAGAGAAATTGAAGATATAAATCTGTGTTTTAAAAAAAATCACATAGGAAGTGTACAAAACGTTCACTAAAGTAATAGAAAAGAGATGTAAATGGTATCTTCCCACACATCTTACCATTACATCAACAGGACTCCAATATAAGAACAGTGGATTACAGCTGAAAGATTGGCAAGAGACACTCTAGGGAGGAGAAAAATAAACTAGAATACTGGAAGAACGTGAAGCCTCTAGTAACTATAGCTACAGCAAAGATTAATCATAGCCCATCTGGTAGCCACATTAACATAAAACCGTACACTAAAATTCTCATTACCTGATACAACATGTTCAGAAAAAAAAATACAAGGTATGCTAAAAGCCAAAAAAAAAAAAAAGACAAAGAGCCTAAGCATAAGAAATCAGATCTCAAATATGATACAGATTTTAAAATTAGGCAAGAGGATATTTAACATAACCTTGATGCATACTTTAAGAGCTCTAACAGCAAAAACATAACATTCAAGAGAAGATGGGTAATGTAAGCAGAGACATGAACACTAAAAGAAAAATATATATCAGAAGCAATAAATAATTTGTAGCATAAATTATATTTTTACTGTCTCGTGAGTAGACTGGACACAACTGAGAAAATAATTAATCAGCTTGAAGGTATGTCAAGAGAAATTTTTCAAACTGAAGTTGAAAAAGAAAAAAGAATGAAATTAAAACAAAACTTCAAAATAGCCCATATGTACCATGGGGCACTTTCAAAAGATGTAATATGCGTGTAATTGGCATACCAGAAGGAAATATAAAGGAAAAGATAAAGAAGAAATATTTGAAGTAGCAGTTACTGAGACCTTTCTAAAATTAATGACAAACATCAAAGCACCAACACAGAAAGCTCAGAGAACACCAAGCAGTATAAGTAACAACAACAAATAGAAAAAAATGTGTTAACGGGTTAATGAAATTGGTTGACTTCTTTCAGAGAAACATAGAGGTAAATCTAAAGCAAAATAAACATGTAAATATGCATCACCTACCTTTGTTGATAATAAAAAGAGTTGCTTAAAATGGTGTGGCTTTACCTTCAATGTTTCAAGAAAGAAATTGTGAGCAGGAAAATGTCTGCTAAATATTATTTTAGCTTTATTTCCTGAAATTGTCACAATGTGTTTATTTCACTGTTTCATCCTTGATTAAACATTTATTTAGGCACATTCTTAATTAAAATAGGATTCAAAAGGCCATGAAAATCATTGAACCATTAAAATTTCATCAAAGGTAGAGGATAATCACTATAATTGATCTGAGTTTTATTTCAAATACTATAGATTGCTTATGAGAATAGAGAACTTTGTCAGTATGCTTTACTTAAATCATCATATGTTGATAATCAAATGAGTCACATGTAAGCATTTGAAAATTCCGTTGACTTTTATTTCTCAAAATTCCTTATGGAGTAATAATTTAATATATACTAGGTTTATATAAACACTGAATGGTTTATGTATTTCTACTGAATGAATTTTTGCTTTCACTTATATCACTGTATAATTTTCCAAATTGAGATATAAGTTACAAATTTAAATAACATGTTTCTATGTCATATGCCGTTTTGTGTGTGTTTGTGTGTGTTAACCAGCCTTTTTGTTTTAACTTTTTTCTTTTTTCAACTGTTACTTTTTTAAATTGACAGATAAAATTGTATATATGTATTGTGTCCAGCATGATGTTTTGAAATACCTATGCATTGTGGAATTAATAATCTAGCTAATTAAAATATGCATTATCTCACATAGTTGTCACTTTTGTGGTGAGAACACTTAAAATCTACTCTTCTTAGCCTTTTTCAAGAATACAACATATTGTTTTTAACTACAGTCACAATGTTATAAAGTAGATTTCTTGAACCAGTTTCTCCTATCAAATTATAATTTCATAACCTTTGATCAGCATCTCCTTAACCCACTGGCTCACTACTGCCTCAGCCACTGGTAACCACTATTCTACTCTGTATCTCAGTGAGATCAACTTCAGGTTCCAAAAATGAGTGACATCACTCAATATTTTTCTTTCTATGCCTGGCTTATTTCACTTAATAAAAATGTCCTCCAAGTTAATATCTGTTGTTGCAAATAACAGGATTTCCTTATTTTATAAGGCTGAATAGTATTCCATTGTGTATATATACACTACATTCTTTATTCATTTGTCAATGGACACTTGAGTTGATTCTGTATCCTTGCTGTTCTGAATAAGGCTGCAGTAAACATGGGAACACAGGTATCTCTGACATACTGGTGTCAATTACTTTGGGCATATTCGATGTCATATGTTAAGAGTAGATATTATAGTACTCTATATTATACAAGTGACTTTTCAGAATCTATCTTAATGATTTTATGAATTTCTTGTATTATTAATATTTTGGATTTTAGCATTTTATCTTAAATAAAATGGTTGCTATTTGGTATAGCATTTTGATATATTACTCTATTGTATTTATTCTTGTATTAGAGTCACAAATTCATTTGCATTATATCTTAGATATGCTAGGAAAAATAATTTATTTTGTTCACAATTTTTCTTGTTTCCACCTGAACTTCCATCCATTTTTCCAGCCACTGAAAAACGTGGAAAAATGCATACATTTTTCTTTATAAAGTAAATATATTAGCTTTATTAAAGTAAATAATCTAGATATGTTTATTTGATTAAATGATTGTTCACTTTTGTGGGGAGAGTTCTGTAAAGCTGTGTCCTATGCACAGTAACATATTTCTGAAGCTATCATCAATTAGCTGGTGGTGGATTAAGCCACTCTTGGTCAACAAGGCCAGAATTTGGATAGCAGAGCTAGACAGTGAAGGAAGTGAGGAAGAGCAAGAACAAGCCGGATTCTTTGGGAATCTATGTGTCTATCTATCATCATGTTTCATGGGGCAGACTTTCAAACAGCAATGGGGATGCCTTCACTCCCATCTTAAAAATTCCATACATGTTCTTCTTTTGGTCACTTTCAAGCAAGAACTATATAAAGAAGAGGATTCTGCAAAATGCAGCTCCTACCTTAACAAAGTTGACACAATGCAATTCAATAAACACCATCTGCTCATTGTAAGATTTGCATGAATACACACCCTTTTAAATCGTATTTAACTTCTAAATAAAGACATCGAAAAAAATCACAATTCTTCCTTATATGATATAAATATCCTACATTAAATCAAAAACATGTGAACGTTGTCTTTGAAAAAGGGTACATAAAATCCCTTCGTTCATGTTATCCAATTTGGGGTGATGTTCATTGCTCTTATAGCTGAATCCCACTTTGTTTATTGTCTCAGTGGAAAAAAAACATTGAGATGACTGGGAAGGAAGCTGACAGACTTTTGCAGAAAAGGCTGTATTTTTACCTGATTATTAAGACACTTTTCTGTGGAAGTTGCTTTTTAGTTTTTACTGAGATAAGTCATACTGATATGGTTTGGCTGTGTCTCCACCCAAATCTCCTCTTGAATTGTAACAACACCCACATGTCAAGGGTGGGGCCAGGGGAGATAATTGAATAATGAGGGCAGTTTCCCACATACTGTTGTCATGGTAGTGAATAAGTCTCATGAGAATTGATGGTTATATAAATGGAATTCCCCTACACAGTCTCTCTTGCCTGCCACCATGTAAGACATGCTTTTGATCCTCATTCACTTTCTGCCATGATTGTGACGCCTCCCCAGCCATGTGGAACTGAGTCACTTAAACCTCTTTCCTTTGTAAATTACGCAGTCTCAAGTATATCTTTATTAGCAGTATGAGGACAGACTAATACACATCTATATCTTCCCCATCTGTGAATTAAAGGAGGCCTATCCAAATACCTGTTCCCTGACCATCTTGTCACTAATTTCCCTATTGTGATTCCTGACCACCTTAGCCTCTGCCAATGAATTATAATGGTTATGTACTTCTGTCCCTTTAGCCTTCCAGAAAATAATTAAAAACGAGGTTCACTGTTGGCATCCTGTGTAATGGGGAGATGACCCAATTTTGGCAGCTGGACGTGGTTGGTTCCTCAGATTTTCATGCACACTCACACTAGTGCTTCAAAAGTATTAACAAGTGGGTATGTCACTGGACTTCTAACTTCCCTGTCTGAATCTTTATTTCCTTAGCCTCCCATATCTATATCAGATCTAATTTCTATTAAAATAATTCTTACCCCTTAATATTCAGTGTCTTTCTTTCCTTGAGGGAAATCAAACCAATAAAATAAATTACTGCCTATTTTATAGGAATACGTACCCATTAATTCTGTTTTTAAAACAACTGCTCTCAATGATGATAAGATCCCAATATTACTGAATAATAGTTAATATTTTGTTTTCACTTTTACCTTAAGTTCAAGAGTAGTTGTGCAGGTTGGTTATATAGGTAAATTTCATGCCATGGAGGTTTGATGTACTGATTATTTCACCATTTAGGCAGAAAGTGTAGTACTCACAAGTATTATTTGCAATAAATGAACTTAATATACTGTTTTATACACATACGCACATGTGCACACACATGCACACAAAGAAAAGACTTTGACATTGATATTGAATAAAAAAGTGTCCCATTATTTGAATAATAGTTTATATTTTATATGTATAAAATATTTACACCTAATGAATCTTTTTCAAATAAAATTATAGTACTTCTAGGAAGAACATTGGTAAAATGTTTACACATTAAATATAAGTATACATATTTTTATTTTATGATGTTTTAATTCATTTAGATACAAAGTCACAGTACTTGATCCCATAACAAGACAGCATGGAGAATAAGAAGCATGGTTTCTAAATCAATATAGAGTTGGAAAAGCACCTGTCTTGTTTTAAAGTTGGAACTCAATTCTGGTTCCGCAAAATCTCTGCTTTTCACTCTTCTCCATGATTGGTGATCTAAGTCTTTTTAAAAAATGTATATTCTCATCCATTATTTGACTTGGTCAGCATGCTTATCAATAAACAACATTTGGTACCTTAATATTTTTAGTCATTTGTCAGAACTTATTAAGAAACTATGCACTGACAATTGTATTTCTGTTATAAATTTTAGGTATCGAGACAATAGGTTTCTGGTTTAATAAAGTGCCTTTGCAAAGGAAGACACTGAATAATTGTCAAAAATCATTTTTATACATATTATACAGCTTATAGAAATTCTAATATACCATCTGCATTAGCAGACAGGTAGCCTGCTTTGTACTTTTAATCAACTATCTATTGAGTATTTAATCTGTCTTATTTTGCTAATTTGTATTTGTTTTTAGTTCTTTATGCATCAATCTATAGCTAATGTCAAATTAGACATTTGAAATTTCCCAAAATAAGCCAATAGGACGGGCGCGCTGGCTCACGTCTGTAATCCCAGCACTTTGGGAGGCCGAGGCTGGCGGATCATTTGAGGTCAGGAGATTGAGACCAGCTTGGCCAACATGGCGAATCCTCGTCTCTACTAAAAATACAAACATTAGCTGAGCGTGGTAGTGCACACCTGTAATTTCAGCTATTAGGGAGGCTCAGTGAGGCAGGAGCATTGTTTGAACCCAGGGGGCGTGGTTGCAGTGAGAGCCAATATCACGCCACTGCACACCATCCTGGGCGACAGAGCGAGACTCCGTCTCAAAAAAACAAACAACAACAAACAAAAAAAAAAAAAAGAAAAAAAAATTTCCCACTATAGCTTTTTCACATATTATACTAAAATTGGAGATTGCATAAAAAACAGAAATGAATTATTTAATCAGCTCAGGCCATTTAGTTCTTACGTAAGTCTGTCTAAACTACTAAAGACTAAATATGGAAATAGTTTTCTCTTTCAAGTAGGATGCAGTCAATAAAATACTAACTTTAAAAATTATGTCATTTTATAAAACGTCAATATGTTTATGACAATACTACTCTATATTTGCACAGTAGCTACTTCTTGTACATCTTTAAATTTTTATTAATGTTAAATGCTTTTCATATTTTGCCTTTTTTATTTTGTTTTAAGAGTTAGTAATATAGAGAACTATGGTGATGATTGTGTTGTGTATGTAGTCAGTAAACTTGAATTTTTGGTATTAAAATAGTAATGTGTTAATGATGTTGCTTCAGTTAAAATATTTTTACCTACATTTTTTCTTCAAAATATATACAAAGCTTATGCTATGTAACAATTATGTTTCCCTTTTTATAACATGTAAAAATACCCTACTGACCTGATTGTATTTAAAATCTTCTAATGAGTCATTCTCCATCCTGCCTCAGTTCTATTACCTTTCAGTGTACTCCAGCAGAATTTTAATTTCCAGTATGGGTTATTTTGTTTCTGAAGTATATAAAATTTTAACTTCCAGGATAGTAATTTTGTTCCCTTTTCCCAGAAGTAATGAAAACTGCTTTACTCTAGTCTCTTGCAAGTCTGGAAATAATTACAATCCCCACTCTACCCCAATCAGGAGGAGCCACTGTCAAAAAAAAAAAAAAAAAAAAAAAAAAGCAAAAACAAACAAAAAAAACTGGTAGATTTTTTTTCGTTTTAAGAAACTTGATCATCAGACATTCAAAAAATATTTAAGGAACAAGTACATGTCAGTATTTCTGTAACCATTACATTTCGACTGTTATAAACTTTCTTTGGTTATCAGCTTTCATATCTCTAATGAAGAATTGAATATGATACCTTTATCCTGGTTCTATATATTAAGTGTTGAATAATGAGAGTAGCTTTCCCCTATCACATAAAGTTCACTGCAATTTATCTTTTCAAAGTTAAATATCTAGGAAAGTACTTCTTACCCAAAAAACTACAACTAAATTTGGCAGTAATCTATTTATTTCTGGCTTTTTTTCTTTCTCAAGAACAAAAGCCATGGGAGAGCTTTATTACTTCCTTCAAAAATGAAATTGCTTGCTAAATTGCTCTTTAGGCACTAAGTCAAAAGTCTTTTAGATATGAATTATGTGAAAAACATAAGAGCTTTCCTGAAAATCACATGAATATGGTGAGCATTTTTATAAAAGAATGCTTGTGATTAATAAAAGAAAGTGAATTCTCTCCTTGACAATTTAATCATCTTGGTTGTCCAGTAAGCCTAATATTTGTCAAACATATGTTCGAATTATGAATAATTTAGGTGATTAAACAAATTCAGATTCAAAGATAAATTTAGTAGTATTATATTCATAAGTGATTAAATAAATTTACAAATTGTGATGCTGAATATAAATCACAAATTAATGAGCTATGTTAAATCTTCAGGTGTGTGTATCTGCTTGCACAAACCTGTATCATGCTTTTGCATTGGTCAGGCTCAGTTAATTCTTTATATAAATATTGGGTATTTTCTTAATTTGGGAAAGGCCAAATCATTGTGAATATGTTCATGTTTTCTTAGATATGAAATGCTCTTGAAAAGGAATCTTCCAAATAATTGAATTTTGAACCATTATTCACAGAAACACATTTTAGGAACACATTTAGCTATTTTGGGGCAATAGAACTGTGTGGCTTAGAAGTATCAGTTGACAACATCCAGCAATTTTCAGCACCCCACACATTTCCTTAGCTATTTGGCAAGAACAGAAAGAAGCATTAAATAGACATGAGATAAAAATGAAAGCAAGGAGAGAAAAATAAGAATAAAAATGGAATGTATTACAATAATTTCCTTCTGAATATGATGCTTAATTTGTTAGGGAAGCACCTCTGAGATTTTAATGTGTGGAGATCTTTTTAAAGAGCAGATTCTGATTCAGTGGGTCTAGGACACAGCCTGAGCTTCTGTATTGCCAACACATTTTCAGATAATATTAATACAGCTGTTTTCTGAGCCACATTTGGAATAATTGTGAAGACAGGAATCGGCCTTCCTTCTGGTAACATTGATTGGAGCAATCACAGAACATGACCAAAGTCAAACCAATCAGAGAACTTTTCTGGGATTGATATACCAAAATTGAGAGAACATTCCTTCTCTCCTTGCATGTTGCTAAGCAGAGATACCGTAAGCTGACTCATTTATAGAAATGTTCCCAACAATGTAAGACATTAGGTAAGCATTAAGACACACCAACACAACAAGATTGGAGTTGAAGAGCATTTACAGTCTTTTAACAATTAGATCCTAGATCTAGTTTTCCTAATGCCAATTTTTTTCCTTCATTTTGTCATCTCTTCTTTAAATGAATCTTTATATAACCTTGACCACTTCTTTTGGTAAGAACAAATTTGAATAGGTAAAATGTTGTCTCTTATAACTACATAATTAACTGGTGAATATTCCAGAATACTGAGAAGAATTTTCACCCATTTACCTTCAAGTAAAAAACAATTAAAAGCCTTTACACAAATTATGTTCACGCATATATGTAATAGTTCACAAATGTAGACACACTATGGATATAATTTAATAGTCTTGGATTACTTTTTCTGTGTCATGTCACTGACTTGGTTTATTCCTTACTACTTGCTCTTATGCCCTCATCAGAACTATAACAAACCACAGTTGCTTTCTCTGCCCTCTCAGTATATTTTAACCATATTCATATAATCAAATAAATACTAATATAGAAATATTCATAAACATACATATACATATTTTATCAGTGACCATTGTTAACAAACTGAATATACACTTTTAACATATTAATGAAAAACACCTCTTGAATATTTTTTCAAGTCCACTGATAGAATTCCAATAATTTACTTTAAAATTACCCATAATGTTGATGATTTATCCAGATTTTCCACTGTTGAATTTTCCTGTGTTTACTAGTCACTCTTTAATTTTTTTGCTAGTAAAAATCACACAGTGGGGCCGGGCGTGGTGGCTCACGACTGTAATCCCAGCACTTTGGGAGGCCGAGGTGGGTGGATCACAAGAACAAGAGATGGAAACCATCCTGGCCAACATGGTGAAACCCCGTCTCTACTAAAAATACAAAAATTAGCCGGGCATGGTGGCATGAACCTGTAGTCTCAGCTACTAGGGAGGCTGAGAAAGAAGAATCGCTTGAACCCAGGAGGCGGAGGTTGCAGTGAGCCAAGATCGTGCCACTGCACTCCAGCCTGGGTGACAGAGCGAGATTCGGTCTGAAAAAAAAAACAAAAAAAAACAAAAACGAAACATACATACACACACACACACATTAACAAAACCTTGCGTAGATATTGAAAATTTTATTTCTAGAATATAAATTCACAGAACTTTCATTAAATAATAAATAACCTAGAAGAATTAAAACTTTCCATTTATGACTTTTTGTACTCAGAAGCATAAAATTACACATTAAAAACTGGGTATTTATGGCCAGACACGTGTTTCACGTCTGTAATCCCAGCACTTTGGGAGGCCCAGGTGGGTGGATCATGAGGTCAAGAGATCGAGACTACATAGACTTATGGGTACATAAGAATTTCCTGACAGAAAACTTCATAATTAAATAACTTCTCTTCATTTCTTTTATTGAATCTGCCCCCAAATTTGAAATAAATATGATATGAAGTGTGATGATAAATAAAATCAGAAATGAACTCGAATTTTTTCTGAATAATTGACATTTTCAGATGCATCCTTATTTTCATACATTTCCCTATTCATGACTCTCATTTTTAACAGCTATGTAATCAATAGAAATGTCAAATTTATTTTTTCTTGCCAAATCATTAATATATCCAAATAATAAAACAATTTTGTGTTCCACTGCATTAACAAATTCATCCTTTCTTCTGTTTGCATTTAAAAGATGTATGGTGATAATAATGGCTATGATGACAATATGGTATATGATGATACATTTGTTATTGTAACTAGTATTCCTTATTTACATCACATAATGCCTTTAGGCCTAAACCTCATTTTCTTTTCTAGTATTTGTATCAATGACTTTGTACCACACATTTATTATTCTGCATGATTTTATAATTGCTATGGTAATTTAATATTACATTGAGAAAGATAGAGAAGGAAAGTGCCACAAGTGGCCAGACATTTAACAGGCAACAGATATAAGAAAGCTCCAAAAAGGAGAATACAGAGGTACTTTATGGAAAATAATTTGCATCTCTTTAAATCAGCATTACAGAATAACCAAAAACAATATTTTGAAATACATGTAAGTGACAGATACTATATTTAGGGCAATGGTCAGTGAAAGGATAAACAATAATTAATGATAATTTTAGAAAAGTTTAAGATGACGCTAAAAAGAAAAGCAGTAATAGACACTTTCTTCCTATTCATTAATCTCATTATATAATTGGAAAAAAATCTGAGATCCAGAATTCTAGAATTTTCTACTTGACTGTATGCAATGATATATGTAATGCAATAATATATGTGGTGGTATTTTGAAAGTATGATTTAAGATAATCAAAGGAGTTTATTTAACAGTATTCATATTTTTGAAACATGAAGACAATTTAAAATGTCTTTTAATTCAGAACTGGTCTATCAGGATAGTATCTTATTTGAGGTGGAGAGTTGAAATAATGTGAGCTCTTTTCAACTTATCATTTTGAATTTTCTTGCCTTTTTTTTTCTTTTTTTCTTTTTCTTTTTTTTTTTTTTTTTTTTTTTTTTTTGAGGAGTCTCCCTCTGTCACCCAGGCTGGAGTGCGGTGGCTTGATCTCTGCTTACTGCAACCTCCGCCTCCCAGGTTCAAGCAATTCTCCTGCCTCAGCATCCTAAGTAGCTGGGACTATAGGCACGTGCCACCATACCCGGCTAATTTTTTTTTTGTATTTTCAGTAGAGACAGGGTTTCAGCATGTTGCTCAGGCTGGTCTCAAACTCCTGACCTTGTGATCCGTCCGCCTCGGCCTCCCAAAGTGCTGGGTTTACAGACGTGAGCCACCGCGCCTGGCCTCTTGCCATTAATTTTTAAATTGCTTGACTGCCATTCGAACTAGCAAAGAAATTGAGGAAACCAGTAACGATCATTTATATTTTTCTCCTATTTTCTTTGTATTTCTAGTTATTTGTAAAGTATGATAATAATGATTGCTCCTTTTTTTTGTTGTTGTTTTTTGGAAATCTCAGCTCTGCCAAATTTTCTTTGATAGTCTATTCAAAAGTGTAATAACCTGCCAGAATGATTTCTATCTTATATTAATATTAAGGAATTATAAGCAGATAAAATACTTCATAAAATAATGACACAGATTTTGCCTTTAGAAATAGCAGCAAACTAATACAGTTAAAATAAAAGTATCACTTGCATTAAGGACAGAACAACTGGTATAAATATTTCTAACATTATACATGGTGTTTTCACCTATTCACCTCCTGTTTTACAGCATTTTTAAATTCAATTTTCCAGGAATCTGTGAGTTTTTTGGTTTTCGTTGTTGTACATTATTTTCTTTTTTTTTTTCAAGTTTTATTTTAAGTTCAGGGGTACAAACACAGTTTTGTTACACAGGTAAACTTGTGTCATGAGGGTTGTTGTACAGATTATTTCATCACCCAGGTATTAAGCCTAGTACATATTAATTATTAGATCTGATCTCTCCCTGCTCCAACCCTCCACCCTCCAATAGACCCCAGTGTCTGTTGTTTCCCTCTATGTGTCCATGTGTTCTCATCATTTAGCTCCCACTTATAAGTGAGAACATGTGGTTCTCACTTGGTTTTCTGTTCCTCTGTTAGTTTGCTAAAGATAATGGCCTCCAGCTCCATCCATGGACCTGCAAAGAAAATGATTTCATTCTGTTTTATGGCTGCAGAGTATTCCATGGTATACATGCATTACATTTTCATTATCCAGTCTATCATTGATGGACACTTAAGTCCATTTCATGTCTTTACTATTGTGAATAGTGCTGCGATGAACATACACGTGCATGTGGCTTTATAATAGAATGATTTACATTCCTTTGATTATATACTCAGTAATGGTATTGCTGGGTCAAATTGTATTTCTGTCTTTAGTTCCTTGAGGAATTGCCACACTGTCCTCCATATGGCTGAATGAGTTTACACTCCCAACAACAGTGTATAAGTGTTACTTTTTCTTCACAACCTCACCAGCATTTGCTATTTTTGGACTCTTTAATAATGGCCATTCTGACCAGTGTGAGATGGTATCTTATTGTGGTTTAGATGCGCATTTCTCTAATGACCAGTGATGTTGAGCTTTTTTTCATATGAGTGTTGGCTGCATGTATGTCTTCTTTTGAAAAGTGTACGTTCATTTCCATTGCCCACTTTTAAATGGGGTTGTTTATTTTTCTCTTGTAAATGTATTTAAGTTTCTTATAGATGCTGGATATTAGACTTTTGTCAGATGCACAGTTTGCAAAATTTTCTGCCATTCTGTAGGTTGTTTCCTTTGTTGATAGTTTCTTTTGCTGTGCAGAAGCTTAGTTTAATTAGATCCCATTTGTCAATTTTTTATTTTGTTGCATTACTTTTGGTGTCTTTGTCATAAAATGTTTTCCTTGCCTAGGCTGTCTTCCAGGATTTTTATAGTTTGGGGCTTTACATAACTTTTTGCTAGGTAACATCCCTTTGATACTTACAAGCAATAAGAGGATTTTCTTTGAAAGCCTTGTCAGATTGGTGAATGGTTTTGTTTTCGGTTTATAAAATGAATCGCTCCTGGTAGTTTGTGCAATCTAAATACTTCCTGGTATTTTCTGCATTTTAGCGGTGTTTGAACATGAAGCAGGATCTGAATAACATTCATTGTTAAGCAGGGACAATCACATACATGCACACATACACATACACATGCAAACACACATATTCACACATCCATACATTCACACCTGTGTTTTGCAGTAAAATCATTGTTTAAATGGTCCAGTATGACCAGATAGTAGCTGATATTCTGTGAGGATAAACATAAGCTATCATTTCTGGTGGATAAAGGGAAATTGGTTTTTTTTTTTTTTTTGGACTTTACAATGAGGAAAATCTCCCAAATATTGTATTAATTCTTACTACCTTTACCAAGGGGATAATATCCAAGTGCAGCTCTTAAAGAAGAGCCAAGGCAGGTCTTATATCAATGTTTAGTTTAAAGGTAATATCTGGCCTATTCAGCATAATAGCTAAGCCTTAATGATCTTTGTAACTCTTCCTTTATGATATTACAATGTTTTCCAGTCATCCTACACAAAAATATTTAATTCTCAAAGGACACAATGCACTCTCCAAACTGCCTTAGCTAATGAAGTTCCTTGTATCTTTAAAATCCATCTCTTCCCTCACTTATTCATTTTCAAAGAAGAAATCTTGAATTTCACTTACCAGCATTATCTCAAACAAAATTAAATGATGTTTAACTAGTATTTGGTTATCCCTCAGCACTAGTCATAGTAGCATGTTTTTTTTTCGGTTTGTGGAAACAAACAAACAAACAAAAACAAACAAACAAAAAACACTGTTTGGGGACCCGAAGGAAGGGATGGGTGAAGACATACTGAATACTCACATTTTCTGGAACTATTGGTAAGGTAAGAGGATGTGAGCCAGACACTGCGTGAAATACGTAGGATCACAATTTCTAAAGTAGTAAAAAAGGCTAACATATTTAGAGTCCAATTAGTGACATTTAATTGTGGGGTATGAGCTGAGTCAACAAGAACAGCTGAAAAAACTAGTCCATTGAAGAAACGTCATAGCTAATCCAATAAAATTCCATGCTACTGATTAATTAACTTTGATAGGACTCATTGATTTTTCTCCCTTGGAAATACAAATTGGACCAAATATCTATGATTGAGATAAATATTAATAATAATATGCATTTTTGCAAAGGAGAATGCCTACAAATGGCTCCAACTCAGATTAAAAAATGTAACAAATAGCTGGTAATTATGAAAAATAGAGAAGTTATGAGAAGGCTGCTTTTATTTAAAACAAGTGTATTAGAAATACTTATTATTTAATGAAATTGCTGTATTTGTTGGTGTCTAACTTCTAATATGCAGCCAATGGAAAGATAATGTTTAGGGCACTGTTGTTGTCCATGTGTCATCTTAAATATGTGGTATTTTCATTGTATTAATTGCAATGTTTTGACAATTAAACAATGTATCTTTTTTCTTTTTTTTATTATACTTTAAGTTCTAGGGTACATGTGCACAATGTGCAGGTTCGTTACATAGGTATACATGTGCCATGTTGGTTTGATGTACCCATCAACTCATCATTTACATTAGGTATTTCTCCTAATGCTATCCCTCCCCCAGCCCCCCAGCCCCTGACAGACCGGAGTGTGTGATGTTCCACGCCCTGTGTCCAAGTGTTCTCATTTTTCAATTCCCCACTATAAGTGAGAACATGCAGTGTTTGGTTTTCTGTTCTTGTGATAGTTTGCTGAGAATGATGGTTTCCAGCTTCATCCATGTCCCTGCAAAGGACATGAACTCATCCTTTTTTGTAGCTGCATAGTATTCCATGGTGTGTATGTGCCACGTTTTCTTAATCCAGTCTATCATTGATGGACATTTGTGTTGGTTCCAAGTCTTTGCTATTGTGAATATTGCCACAATAAACATATGTGTGCATGTGTCTTTATAGTACCATGATTTATAATCCTTTGGGTATATATCCAGTAATGGATATTACTGGGGTCAAATGGTATTTCTAGTTCTAGATCCTTGAGGAATAGCCATGCTGTCTTCCACAATGGATGAAATAATTTACACTCCCTGCAATAGTGTAAAAGCGTTCCTATTTCTCCACATCATCTGTTGTTTCCTGACATTTTAATGATTACCATTCTAACTGGTGTGAGATGGTATCTCATTGTGGTTTTGATTTGCATCTCTCTGATTACCAGTGATGATGAGCATTTTTTCTTGTGTCTGTTGGCTGCATAAACGTCTTCTTTTGAGAAGTGTCTGTTCATATCCTTTGCCCATTTTTTGATGGGATTGTTGTTGTTGTTGTTTTTTCTTGTAAATTTGTTTAAGTTCTTTGTAGATTCTGGATATTAGCCCTTTGTCAAATGGGAGATTGCAAAAATTTTCTCCCATTCTGTAGGTTGACTGTTCACTGTTAATGGTAGTTTCTTTTGCTGTGAAGAAGCTCTTTAGTTTAATTAGATCCTGTTTGTCAATTTTGGCTTTTGTTCCATTGCTTTTGGTGTTTTAGTCATGAATTATTTGTCCATGCCTATGTCCTGAATGGTATTGCCTAGGTTTTCTTTTAGGGTTTTTATGGTTTTAGGTCTAACATTTAAGTCTTTAATCAATCTTGAATTAATTTTCGTATAAGGTGTAAGGAAGGGATCCAGTTTCAGCTTTCTACATATGGCGAGACAGTTTTCCCAGCACGATTTATTATATAGGAAATCCTTTCGCCATTTTTTGTTTTTGTCAGGTTGGTCAAAGATCAGATGGTTGTAGATATGAGGTGTTATTTCTGAGGCCTCTGTTCTGTTCCATTGCTCTGTATATCTGTTTTGGTACCAGTACTATGGTGTTTTAATTACTGTAGCCTTGTAATATAGTTTGAAGTCAGGTAGAGTGATGTTTCCTGCTTTGTTCTTTTTGCTTAGGATTGTCTTGGCTATGCGGGCTCTTTTTTGATTCCATATGAACTTTAAAGTAGTTTTTCCCAATTCTGTGAAGAAAGTCATTGGTAGCTTGATGGGGATGGCATTGAATCTATAAGTTACCTTGGGCATTATAGCCATATTCAAGATATTGATTCTTCCTATCCATGAGCATGGAATGTTCTTCCATTTGTTTGTGTCCTCTTTTATTTCATTGAACAGTGGTTTGTAGTTCTCCTTGAAGAGATCCTTCACATCCCTTGTAAGTTGGATTCCTAGGTATTTTATCGTCTTTGTAGCAAATGTGAATGGGAATGCACTCATGATTTGGCTCTCTGTTTGCCTGTTATTGGTGTATAGGAATGCTTGTGATTTTTGCACATTGATTTTGTATCCCGAGACTTTGCTGAAGTTGCTTATCAGCTTAAGGAAATTTGGGGCTGAGATGATGGGGTTTTCTAAATATACAATCATGTCATCTGCAAAAAGGGACAATTTGACTTCCTCTTTTCCTAATCGAATACCCTTTATTTCTTTCTCTTGCCTGATTGCCCCGGCCAGAACTTCCAACACTATGTTGAATAGGAGTGGTGAGAAAGGGCATCCTTGTCTTGTGCCAGTTTTCAAAAGGAATGCTTCCAGTTTTTGCCCATTCAGTATGATATTGGCTGTGGGTTTGTCATAAATAGCTCTTATTATTTGCGATACAGTCCATCAATACCTAGTTTATTGGGAGTTTTTAGCTTGAAGCGTTGTTGAATTTTGTCGAAGGCCTTTTCTGCATCTATTGAGATAATCATGCTTTTTTTTTTTTTTTTTTTTTTGTTGTTGTTGTTGTTTTTGATGGAGTCTCACTCTGTCACCCAGTTTGGAGTGCAGTGGCGTGATCTCGGCTCACTGCAAGCTCTGCCTCCCAGGTTCACGCCATTCTCCTGTCTCAGCCTACAGGTACCAAGCCATCTTGCAATGGACTCCTAAATAATGTATCTTACCATACAAGGGTTCATTCTTATTCAATGAAAAACAATAAATTAACAGATGATTCTCAAAGCTGATTTGAAACAAATTAACCAAACTTTTTAAACTGGCTATTTGGCTGTTCTATTTCATGATGATAGTACTTCCCCTACAGTTTTTTTAGTTTTCTTAGTGTGTGTGTGTGTGTATGTTTGTGTGTGTGTGTGAGTGGGTGTACTCTCTCCTTCAAATGAAATGAAGCCTTGAGATGAGTTATATGTTCTACTATGCTTTTCATTGATGATTTTTCTGATTTTGCCTCATTCTTTCAAACAAATAGACTAAATCACTACTAAGAAATTGACCATCTACCAACCAAGAGCAATGAACGACAGATTACTTAACTTACCATTAGTCCCCTTCTTGCAATTATCTACTATTTTGCTTGGCATGACTTCTCATTCTTCAAAGCAGTTAGCACGCAGTTTACAGTCTTTTTCTTCACTTTTACTCCTGATGTAATTCTTAGGCATTTCTACATCGACATAAATTCAATTTTACCTTTTCATTCCTCACCCTCATGGATGCAACCTAGACTTCCCTATTACCAGTCTCTATAATGTCTAAACTCATTACAGACCACATTTTGTAAACCTAGTTTTTGAGTTCACTTTCTCTAGTATGATAGTTGAAAACTGATTTGACCTCACCATGATAACCAATACATTAAAACTATATTTTTTCACCATCCAAATTCACCTCATGTTCTTATTTCTCTCCTTGTCCAGTATAGGTTAGTGGCCCATCAAAAAGTGGGCAAATGATATGAACAGACACTTCTCAAAAGAAGACATTTATGCAGCCAACAAACATATGAAAAAATGCTCATCATCACTGGTCATTAGAGAAATGCAAATCAAAACCACAATGAGATATCATCTCACACCAGTTAGAATGGCAATCATTAAAATGTCAGGAAACAACATATGCTGAAGAGGATGTGGAGAAATAGGAATGCTTTTACACTGTTGGTGAGAGTGTAAATTAGTTCAACCATTATGGAAGGCAGCCTGGCAATTCCTCAAGGATCTAGAACTAGAAATACCATTTGATCTAGCAATCTCATTACTCGGTATATACTCAAAGGATTATAAATCATTCTACTGTAAAGACACATGAACATGTATGTTTATTTCAGCACTGTTCACAATAGCAAAGTCTTGGGGCCAATCAAAATGCCCTCAATGATAGACTGGATAAAGAAAATGTGGCATATATATACCATGGAATTCTATGCAGCCATAAAAAAGGATGAGTTCATGTCCTTTGCAGGGACATGGATGAACCTGGAAACTATCATTCTCAGCAAAGTAACACAAGAAGAGAAAGCCAAATACCACATGTTCTCACTCATAAGTGGGAATTGAACAATGAGAACACATGGACACGGAGAGGTGAACATCACATAACGGGGCCTGTCGGGGGGTGAGGTGCTAGGGGAGGAATAGCATTAGGAGAAATACCTAATGTAAATGACGAGTTGATGGGTGCAGCGAACCAACATGGCACATGTATACCTATGTAACAAACCTGCAAGTTGTGCACATGTACCCCAGAACTTAAAGTATAAAAATAAAAAATAAAAAATAAAAAAAAGTGAGTATAGTTATACTTCTTTTACTTCATCAGAATAAAGCTAGGAATTATTCCTTTTAAACTTAACTTTTTACTTCCTGTGGCATGTAGAATTCTAAGACAGCAAATGTTCTACGCCCTTGTACAATTTCCTCCCCTTGTAGTGAATCAGTGCCTCTGAGTATTATGGGATATCATTCCCATGACTATGTCATTATCTAGCAAAAGAGATTTTGCACATGTAATTATTATCTGTAAGCAGTTGACTTTGACTTATTCCACAGGTAAACTCTTCCAAGTGGACTTAACCTAATCATATAAGCCACTAAGAAAGGCAAGAAGCAGGAGCAAATTCTCCTCCGCTGGTCTTGAAGGTGTAAGCTCCCATTGTGTGAGAGAAGGGGGTCCATGTGGTGGGGATATGAGGGTGGCATCTAGGAACTTTTAGTAGCTTTTAGCTGACATCTAGCAAGGAAATATGGAATTCTTGCATGCAGGTAGAAGGAAGTGAATTCTACTAATAACCTGAATGAACTTGGAGATGGATCTAGAGCTTTAGATGAGAGCAGAGCTGAATAGATACATCAATGTCAGTATTGCAGACTCTGAACAGATAATTCAGTTGTACCATGCCCTTACTTCTGACCTGCAGAAACCAGAAGATTATGCGTGTTGCTTCTTAAAGCCGCTACATTTGTGGTAATTTGTTATGCAGCAGTAAAAAGTGATTAGACTTACTCTGCATCAACAATTAAAAAGCTAGATGAGATTAGAAAATACACACATATCTACACTTACACAAGCCATGTGAGTCTTCTTAAATGTACAGGTAATTTCAAATGGGCTTTTAGAACTGCAAGTAATCCTATCATATTTTCCCACTCAATTTACTTTACTGCCTCCAAAAAATACCTATTCCTTGAATTTGTTCTATCCTGATACCTCTGTGATGTTTCCTTCTAATTTTTCCTTAAGTATAACTGATTATGTATTTTTCCTTTATTAACTAAATAAAAATAACAAGAGGCCTTACTAAATCTTTTACCAATGATCTACAAATTTAACTCTACATATTTTCATGTTTTTATATAACAGAAATGAACTTTTTTTTTTGTTTTGACCAAGACAATCATGCTTCTTTGGCAGTGGGTTCCTTTCTTTTTAATTTTTTATAGCTTTACTTCTTCTATTTAAACCTAATTTACTGTAATAAAATCACCCTTCTATACAGAAATAAACCATTGTTATAATCATTTTACTAAATGGACTTAATTTAGAAAATATCTTCTTTTTTGAACTGTCTTCCAACACGCAAACACAAATATTCTTTTTTCCTCCTTGACAACACATTGAATGAAAATTTCTTTGTTTTAGGAGTGGAGAGAAATTCGAACGTGAGTTCCAAGCTTTTCATGACATAATATACATAGAAAATGTTAATGCAGATATGGTACACTGAGGAGAAGCATAAAGCTGATCCCAAGAAGGAGATTATCCTCTAGCAGCCTCTGAATCTGCCTGGTTATGCAAATGTATGAGAGGACTCATCACAGCTTCTTCTGCCCTGTATTCTGTATTGACACATATTTGACTTCTCTGGGTTATGAGATTCATAGTCTAAGATTTTGAAGACAATATCTAGGAATAGAGATTGAGAAACAGTTCTTGTTCTCAAATACTAGTCTCAGTGGGAATAGTCGTTTCTGTCCTTGTCCTGTTAGTCAGGGTAAATTGGAAACCCACACTCTGCTGTGAGAGGTGAAGAGTGAAACTTCTTGAGGGAAGGTGGTCTGTTTCAAGTCCCAGTAGAAGTGGCTAAAGAAAATAGTGTCTGACTGTTGACTGGAGAAGTGTGAAAGTAGAAATGGGCCTGGGCTGTTCTTGGTTACTGGTAAAGGAAAGTGTTCCAACAAAAGCATCTTTCTTTCTCTTTCTCCTTATTTATTTCTTTATTTTTTAAAAGAATTTAGTTTATTTCAATAAACATTAAATATTTAGAACAAATTGTCTATTATACCAAATACTAGTAGGAGATCAAAATTAATACTACTTTATATTGTATATTGACAAAATATACCTGTATATATTTATGAGGTACAAAGTGGTGTTATGGTTTTTTAAGACTATGTGGAAATATTAAGTTAATTAACATACCTGTTATCTCAAATATTTAACTGTTTGTGATTATAGCATTAGAAATTTACTATCTTAGTAATACTAAAATGTACAGTATTATTAGCTGTATTTACTATTCTGTGCAATTGATCAAAAAAAGCCTCACATTTCTTTCCTCTATCTAACTGAGGCTTTGTGCCCTTTGATTATCATCTTCTCATTCCCTACTCCCCAGTCCCCAGTCTCAGGTAACTACCATTCCACTCTCTGCTTCTAAGAGCTCAACTGTTTTAGATTTCACATGTAGGCAGAACATGTGGCATTTGTCTTTGTGTATTGGCTTATTTCACTTAGCATATTGATCTCCAGTTCCCTCTATGCTGCCACAAAGGACAGAATTTCTTCCTTTTTTAAGGCTGAATAGTATTCCATTGTGTATACACCACATTCTCATTACCCATTCATCCCTCGATGGATGCTTAGGTTGATTCCATAACATAGCTATTGTGAATAATGCTGCAATAAACATGGGAGTACAGGCATCTCTTCGACATACTTATATTAGTCTGTTCTCATGCTTCTAATAAAGACATACCCGAGACTGGATAATTTATAAAAGAAAGAAATTTAGTTGACTTACAGTTCCACATGGCTGGGGAGGCCTCACAATCATGGTGGAAAATGAAAGAAATGCAAAGAAATGTCTTACGTGGCAGCAGGCAAGAGAGTGTGTTCAGGGGAACTCATTTATAAAACCATCAGATCTCATGAGACTTATTCACTATCATGAGAACAGCACAGGAAAGACTCACCCCCATGACTCAATTACCTCCCACCAGATCCCTCCCACAACATGTGGGAATTACAGAAGCTACGATTCAAGATGAAATTTCAGTGGTGACACAGCCAAACCACATCAATACTGATTTCAAATCTTTCAGATAAATACTCAGAAGTGGGAATGCTGGATCACATGGTAATTATATTTTTAGTCTTTTGAGAAACTTTCCTACTATTTTTCATAATGGCTGTGCTAATTTACATTTTCACTAGCAGAGTTCTCTTTTCTTCACATTCTTGCCAACACTTGTTATCTTTTGTCTTTTTGATCAAGGCCATCCGAAAATTTGGTACAAGGTGATGTCTTTTTGTAATTTTAATTTGAATCTTTCAAATGCTTAGTAGTGCTCAGCGTTTTTTTCACGTGTGTTAGCCATTTGTAGATCTTCATTTGAGAAATGTCTATTCAAGACTCTTGTCTATTTCTTAATTGAATTATTTGTTTTTGTGTTCTATAGAGTTGTTAGAGTTCTTTATCTTTTTGGCTATTAATCCCTTATCAGTTGTAATAAGACTTCATCCCCCCTCTTATCAAGGAACTCATAGTTTAGCAAGGAGAAAAACATGTAATCAAATTTATAAAATAAGGCCAGGCACGATGGCTCAGGCCTGTAATCCCAGCACTTTGGGAGACCAAGGTGGGCTGATCACCTGAGGTCAGGAGTTTCAGACCAGCTTGGTCAACATGGCGACCCCATCTCTACTAAAAATACAAAAATTAGCAGGTATGGTGGTACACACCTGTAATCCTGGCTACATGGGAGGCTGAGACATGAGAATCACTTGAACCTGGGAGGTGAAGTTTGCAGTGAGCTGAGATTCTTCCACCACACTCTAGCCTGGGCAACAGAGTGAGGCTTCATTTCAAAAAAATAAAAAATAAAAAATTTTACAAAATAACATGATACATGCAATAATCTAAGTATGTAGATAAAAGCTTTTGAGAAAATATTCAAGGGACTCCAAAAATTTTATATGTCTAGAGGAAAGAAATAAGGCTGAAAAGTGATACAGATGCTAGCAAACAAAGGGTCCCCTATGCAATGCACTCTGCCAGATTCTTACGGACATGAGAGTTATATTCTTTGATTAATACAATTTTATTTTTTGCAAACATATACCAGTAAAGTATTTAATATTTGATTTACGTTTTTAATTTGTATATACATTTTATTTTAATCATTAAAATATTTTAATCTGTTATATTATTTTTGTGTTTTCTCATTTTCTACTCTTATTTTAATCCCCTCATATCTTTATGCATACTAAACACAAGACCCATAGTGTGACATCAAAGAGGTTGCATGTTTCCTGTCTTCCTTCTCATAGCTCTTCACAGAAGGAGATGAGCAGGAAACCTATTTATCATGATGTTGGCATTGGGTAGAGGAGAGAGATAAATCCACTGAGAATTCATGAAGTAAACCCAACCTCTATGTGTGCTTGAGGCCCAGATATACGTTACATGTGTGACCAGAAAACAGAAAAACAAATCTCTAGCTAAAACTCTAGTTTGAAATGTCTCTATATTGGTAATTCTTCTAGGGCTTGGGGAAGATTAAATCACCCTTGAAGGAAGTCAACTTCAACCAAAGCTTCAGAAGTTCCATAGTTCCTGGTCAAAATAAAATGCACAGGAAAATGAAACACCATGAAAGCCAGCACAACAGGTTATGGAGTCAGAGTCGCAGAATCTTTAGATATGAATGCTATCAGACACATGTTTTTTGGGTGAAGATAGAATGTATGATTTTTCTCCTGAAACAAATTAGATTATGTAAATTAAAAACCATGCAAAAATGATCTTGAAACTACCCACTTAGTAGGGCTAACTGCCAGACCACAGTAACTATGTGTTGATGAGACTTCCATAAATCTGGAAATAGTACACTAAAGTCACATCCTGGAGTGGGAGATGGGAAGAGTGTGAAGTCCTGAGGAATTTAAAAATGCATCTCAATGAAAAATAAGAGATTGTAAATGTGCAAATAAACCTTTTTTGAGGTTATTTGCAGGCAAAGGAAAAAAATAAACAGAACTGAGTAAAATCTTTTATTTTGGTTTAATTTAATTATTCTACTACCATCCATTATCCTGGAAAATTCTCAAGAAGCGAAAGAACAATTATGAAGGAAGATGAGGCAAGGAAACATGAGAACATAGCACCTTTACTTTCCACCTGTTTTATCTTCTGGATATGAACTTTGGGACATGCCTGACCTAGGGAAAAATTCAAGAGGTTAAAGATTATATCTAGAATGGTCATGCTCATATGTGTTCATAGTTAGCTGTGACCCAAAAGCTATAGAAACTCAAGTCTTATAATTATTAAAGCAACAATGTTAATGTTTCAGAATGTGTTTACCTTCTTTCTTTAGAACATGTAGTTATTATCTTTTGTTTTCACATTTTGCACAGAAGTCCAAATTCCCAGGAAAAATAATAAAGTAATAATTAATATTCTGTTGCACACTTATGCAGTGATATTTTTCATTATAAAATAAGCCTAATCTGGTCATCACACCTTTTCCAAGTTATCCAATTTCTAAGCTCCTTTTTATAGAAAATCTCAAAAATGTGCTTATGCTTGTGTTTTGTACTTCCTCAGCCCACTTCTGGCTTATATCCAATCCAATCAGGCTTTTATGTCCACCAATACTCTTGTTGCTGAAACTAGCATGTTCAATAGGCAGTATTAAGTTCTTACACGGCTTGTACTGTCAGCATTATTTGACATAAGTACTCTGTCTTAATTTTTGCTTTTAGTTTTCAGGACACAGTCTTTCTGTTCTCTTCCAATCTTACTGTATGCTCCTTTTAAAATGCTGTTTGCTTAATCTCTAATTCTTATAGATTTCTAATGTTGTGGTGACCTGATTCATCCTATTCTCTTTTCTATTTGCATACATGCCGCCATCTCTTACAGTTATATTAGTTAAACACCATTTAGCGATAACTTAAATTTCTGTCTCCAAAACTGTATTATTCCTTGGATTCCAGAGTCATATATTTAACTGAATACAAAATAAGGCCACTTAGGTATCTGATAGGCATCTCAGAATAAACAGGTATGGGGCAGATAGACTCTAACATTTCCCCAATTATCCCAATTTCCTGGTATGCACATATTTGTACAATGTCCTCTGCTTGAATGTGTTATTTGTGACTTACTTCTAATAAAGAAAATCAAGTGGTCAGGCACAGTGGCTCACGCCTGTAATCCCAGCATTTTGGGAGGCCAAGGTGGGTGGATCACGAGTTCAGGAGTTCGAGACCAGCCTGGTCAACATGGTGAAACCCCATCTCTACTAAAAATACAAGAATTAGCAAGACATGGTGGCGAGCACGTGTAGTCCCAGCTACTCAGGAGGCTGAGGCAGGAGAATCACTTGAACCCAGGAGGCAAAGGTTGCATGAGCCAAGATCATGCCATTGCACTCCAGCCTGGGCAATAGAGCAAGACTCCGTCTCAAAAATAAATAAATAAATAAATAAATAAATAAAAGCAAAGGTGAAGTAATGTCAATTTTGGATAATATTACATAAGATTGCAATTTCTATCTTACTAGAAAGTGATCTCCATTTTATCCCTACCTTATTGGCTTTGATAAGGCAAATGGTCATGTGGAGAGGCCTACATGACAAAACACTGATAGCCTCCTGTTAACAACCAGAAAAAGCTGAGAAACTCTACTGACTCATTTTATATCTCAGAAAGAAATGAATTCTGCCAATAACTTTCTGATAATTTGTTACACAGCAAGGGAAAACTATTACATTGAAATTGTTTGGATCTGTGTCCCTGCCCAAATCTCATGTTCAATTATAATTCCCAGTGTTGGAGCTGGGGCCTGGTGGAAAGTGGTTGGATCATGGGAGCAGTTTCTCATGAATGGTTTAGCACCATCTTCTTGGTGCTGTTCTCATGATAGTGAGTGAGTTCTTATCATATCTGGTTGTTTAAAAGTGTGTGGCACACACACCTTCTTGCTACTGCTCCCACCATGTGAATTGCCTCACCCCCCTTTTGTCTTCTGCCATGATTGTAAGTCCCTGAGGCCTCCCAAGAAGCTGATGCCATCTTGCCTCCTGTACAGCCAACAGAATGATGAACCAATTGAACATTTTGTTTCTTTATAAAGTACCAAATCTTAGGTATTTCTTTACAGCAACAGAGAATGGACTAACACCAAAAATTGGTACCAGGAGTGGGGCATTGCCTTAAAGATACCTGAAAATGTGGATGCAACTTTGGAACTGGATAATGTGCACAGGTTGGAAGAGTGTGGAGGGTGCAGAAGTAGATAGCAAGATGAGGGAAAATTGGAAACTTCCTAGAGACTTGTTTAATTGTTGTAACCAAAATGCTGACAGTGATATGGACAGTGAAGTGCAGGCTGAGGAGGTCTCAGATGGAAATGAGGAACTTATTGGGAACTGGGGAAAAGGTCACTTTTGTTATACCTTAGCAAAGACCTTTGTAGAACTGTGTCCCTGCTCTAGGGATAGGTGGAGTTTTGAACTTGAGAGTGATGATTTAGGATATCTGGTGGAATAAATTTCTAAGTGGAAAAGCATTCAGGATGTGACCTGGCAGCTTGTAACAACCTATGCAAGAGTAAAGAATTGACCCTGCAACTGGAACTTATATTTAAAAAGGAAGCAGAGCATAAAAATTTGGAAAATTTGCAACATAGCCATGTGGTAGAAAAGAAAAGCTAATTTTCAGGAAGAAATTCAAGTAGGCTGCAGATATTTTCATAAAGTAAAAGGTTCTAATAGCCAAGACAATGGGAAAAAAGCCTTGAAGGCTTTTTTTTTTTTTTTCCCCAAGACCGTCACAGCAGCCTTTTTATCACAGGCCCAGAGTCCTAGCAGGACAGAATGGTTTCTGCCCCACTGCCCTGCACAGCTTTGGGACACTGCTCCCTGCATCCCAGTTGCTACAGCTCCAGCCATGGCTTAAAAGGGCCTAGATACAACTCTGATTACTGCTTCAGAGGGTGCAAGCCATAACCCTTGGTGGCTTACACATAGTGTGTAGAATGCAAGAGCTGTGGCTTGGGAGCCTCTGTCTGCATTTTAGAGGATGTATGGAAAAGCCTAGATGTCCAGGCAGAAGTCTGCTGCAGGGACAGAGCTCTCATGAAGAGCTTCTACTATGGCAGTGCAGAGGGGAAATGCAGGGTTAGAACCCCAAAACAGAGTCTACAGAGTCTACACTGGATCACTCTAGTGGAGCTGTGAGAATAGGGCCACCATCCTCTAGATATTAGAATGGTGGATCCATCAGCAGATTGCTCTCTGTGCCTAGAAAAGCCACAGACACTCAACATCAGCCCTTTAGAGTAGATGCAGGGACTGAACTCTGAAAACCACAGGAATGGAACTGCCCAAGGCCTTGGGAGCCCACCCATGACATCTGTTTGCCTTGAATGTGAGACATAGAATAAAAGGAAATTATTTCAGAGTTTTAAAATTTAATGTCTTCCCTTTTGGGTCTCAGATTTGTGTGGGAACTATAACCCCTTTCTTTTGTCCAATTTTTCCTTGTGGGAGGCAGTTATGCTCACCACTATACCACCAATGCAAACTTCTCCCTTTTGGAATGGAAATATTTATCCAATGCCTGTACCTCCATTGTATCTTGGAAGTAACTAACTTTTTTTGTCTTTATAGGATCATAGGTGGAAGTACAAGCCTTGTCTCAGAATAGACTTTGACTTTTGAGTTAATCCTGGACGGAGTTAAGACTTTTGGTACTGTTGGGAAGGCATGATTGTATTTTGAAATGTGATAAAGACATGAGATTTGAAAGGAGTTACAGGCAGAATAATATGGTTTAGATCTGTGTTTCCACCCAAATCTCCTGTTGAGTTGTAATCCCTAATATTGAAGCTGGGGCCTGGTGAGAGGTGATTTAATCATGGGGGAGGTTTCTCATGAGTGGTTTAGCACCATCCACTTGGTGCTGTTCTTGTGCTAGTGAGTGAGTCTCATGAGATCTTGTTATTTAAAAGTGTGTGGCCCTCCTCCCTCTTTCTCTTGCTCCTGCTCCTGCCATGTGAGATACTTCACTCCCCTTTGCCTTTTGTCAGGATTGTAAATTCCCTGAGGCCTCCCCAGAAGCTGACACTCTCATGCGTCCTGTACAGTCTGCAGAACCATGGGCCAATTAAATCTCTTTTCTTTATAAATTACCCAGTCTCAGGTATTTCTTTATAGCAATGTGAGAACAGACTAACACATACATATTTTGGTATAAGGAGTGGGAGGCCACTCAAATAAATGTCTAAAAATATAAGGCTTTGTTTTAGAACTGAGCAGTGAGCTGAGTGATTGCATCACAGTATTGTAACTTTCATTTTACTTGCAGAATTTGTCTTTTGTTTTTTTTTCCCTTGTAAGCTTTGATGAACTAAGCCATCATATGCAGAGTTACACAATGCAAGCAATTAAGGGTGGCATCTTGCTGAAAGATAGCAAGGAGCTAAGGCCCTCAGTCTGACAGCCCACCAGTAACTGAATCACACCAATACCCATGTGAAATAGGAAGCAGATTCTTCCCCAGTTGAACCTGAAATCAAATCTGAGTCCTGGACAGCATAGCAATAGAAGCATTGTAAGAGATCCTAAAGGTAAGCTGTGCCTGTCTTTTCTGTTCCACAGAAACTTTGAGATAATAAATGTATGTTGTTTTAAGAAATTAAGTTTATAATGATATGTTTCACAGCAATAATAACTAATACAAAATCTGAAAGATACTCCTTGATTATTTTTGTTGGGGGGCAATATTTTTATTTACTTATTTTTTTCTTTCCAATTCTTACTTTAGGATCAAGGGGTACATGTACAGGTTTGTTACATGTCTAAATCGCATGTCAATGTGGGAGTTTGGTGTACAGATAATTTTGTCACCCCAGCAATCAGCATAATATCTGATAGGAAGTTTTTCAATCCTCACCATTCTCCCAATTTTCACCCTCAAATGGGCCCCAGTGTCTATTATTTCCATCTTAGTTTCCATGTGTACTCAATGTTTAGCTCCCACTTATAAGTGTGAACATGCATATTTGGTTTTCTGTTCCTATAATAATACATTTAGGATTATGGCCTCCAGCTCCATCCATGTTGCTGCAAAGTCTAAGATCTCATTTTTTTTTATAGCTGTGTAGTGTTTCATGGTGTATATGTACCACATTTTCTTTACCCAGTCCACCGATGATGGGCATCTAGGTTGATTTCATGTCTTTGCTCTTGTGAATAGCACTGTGATAAACATATGCATGCATTTGTCTTTATGCTAGAACAATTTATATTCCTTTGGGTATATAACTAGAAATGATTCATTGATTTTAATTGCTCCCCAAACTTGCTTCTTCCTAAGTATTCTATCTCTTGTTAATTGGCAACTCAATCCACTTGTTTGTTCCATAAGAATTTGGTGTAATCCTTGAATTTTCTCTACATATCACATCACAAAATGCTAATAACTCCTATAAGGTAGAGTAAATAAATATTTTTAATACTACCATGGATATGAGGCTACTCTGAAGAACCAACATCTCACTTCTAAATCACTGCAATGGCTTTATAACATATCTCTATAGTCATATGCCTAGTCTCCTTAAGCTGATCCTCTGCAATATCAAAATGACACTTTCACAGTATAAATCAGATTATATCTCAACACTCCAACAATGTTTTATACACAAACTGAACTCCTAACCACAGTCTGCGAGGCTTTCACATCAGGTCCTTCATTTCCTCTCCCTGTCTTTCTCTCACTCACTCTGATTAAATTGGACTGTAATTTCTGTTGCTTCATCTTATAATGATCCTGCCTCAAGTCTTGGCATCCACTCCTCTTATTGGGGAAACTCTTCCTCCAGATCTTTGTGAGGTTTGTTCTTTTTATTTTAGGACCTGCAAAAATATTCATGCCCTCAGAGAAGTCTTTACTGGCCACCTTATCTAAAACAGCTTTATAGTATCCATAACTACCCATTTTCTTACTGGCATCTATACTACTTAGTTATTAGCCATCATTTCCTTAATTTTTTCTTCCACCCCATTAAAGGAAAAAAGCCACTAACTTTCTTGTTTTAGTCACTGTTTATTAATAACCTCTGGAAATATAACTGTCATAGAGTAGATGCTCACTAAATATTGTCTAGTGGTGCATGATTAATCAACCATATATAATTATAATTATAAAATTATGTCTAATTTGCTTCAACTATAGCACCGTCATTGACTGAGATTCGGGTGAATATTAGCTAAAGTGATTATGCTCATATAATCGCTATTCTAATGTTCATCTTTTTGATAGTCTCACTTTTAATTTTAGGTTTAATGTCTTACTTCCTGTTTGATTTATTAAGTTAAATAATCTTGAAAATTCCTATGTACTTTGTCTCCCAATAATAATATGCTCCATCATTATTGCTTCTTTTGAGTTATCTTGTAAGTGGCATTACACATGTGCCTTTAGTTTACATTCTGTTCTTTGCCCATTTTCTTTTATAGTTTAAATTTACTGGTACAGTTTTCTAAAAACTGGCTTCTATCTAAGCTCTTGTGACCAACGATTATTTTGTGATTTAGGGCTCACTGGTCTTCACAGACTTCAAGTTCACCCAAAATAGGACTGTCTGTTTAAGCATTAATTTTGAGCTGAAAAGTGCCTAGAGCTTGATGCCCCAGATAGAAAAATTTTGTGTATATATATATATGTGTGTGTATATATATATGTATATATATATATATATACATATATATATACACACACACTCATACACACACACACATATATATATACATACCCACATATATATATAAATGGCATGATGACATGATATAAAAAGTTGATTTTTAATTTAAATTATGTTATATATAATATAGAAGATAAATTATAATATTAAACTTTATATACTGTATTTTAATTAAAACACATCTTTAAACAAGAAATATTTTTGAATCTAACTCAAATGTTTTCATGTTTTAAATCATATAAATATTTCTTACATATTATTTTATTTGAGAAAAAACTATATCCCCACATAACTTTTGATATTATGTCAACTGAAGCAAGTACTCTAAATATCTGAGCTCCTTGAGGAAAATGTTTGTATCTGTACTGTTTATTGTTGTGTGCCCAAAAATTCATATAGTGTCACACACTTAGTAGAAATTCAACTAATTCTTGCTTAATAGTCAAACGAATTAATAAACTGGACCTCAAACCATGCAAAACTTGAAGCGTGCATAGGTTAAACATTTGGTTAAGATTGGAGTTTATATGGATATATATATCAGTTACATATTAATATCACTGATTAAAGAGTTTACATGCCTTTCTATTCTAGTACATAAAGGCCTGAATTTCAACCCACAGAAACTGCATCTACTTGCATGAGGACATTCTTTGATTTCCAGAGACCTCTTCCCCATTTCTAAATCTGGTTAGGTTTCCCAAATTATTGAAACCTTCAGCAGAATTCCTCTAACAATGACTTATAGGAGTTACTGTGTACATATCTGAATCACACAAAACTTATATGGAATAATTCTCTAGTATGTTTTTTTCATTTGCTCCCAGAGCCTTCCATTAGTATTAAGCTTAGTTACCCACAATGGTCACTTGCTTAATAATGCATCTTGTATTGTACCATTTGCTTTTATTGTACCCTTTTCTTTCCTACTTCCTATACCCATAAATACCCAAAATGGTGATTCTTGGGATCACCCCCCAAATAAGTTATATTCATTTCAGTCATTTTCTCAAGTTGGCTTCTGGAAATACCTAATGAAGACAGATTCTCTCTCTCTCTCTCTCTCTCTCTCTCTCTCTCTCTCTCTCCCCAACCCCCTCACACACACATACACACACACACGTTCAAATACAAAACAAATACTCCTGTTGTAAATATATAAACAGTATATAAGGTTACCTAAGTGTTTATGTGGAAGCTGGATAGCCTAATGTATAGGCTGTCCCAATTATAAATTGATGGCTTACCTGTTCTAAATGTACACTTAAATGCCCTTCTTTGTAACATTGGAGCTCTATCTGGTAAACATCTCTTTTTGACAGCTCAACAAGTATTAGACTTTGTCAGGAGAGAGTGTTCAAAGGATAACTGAGAAAGGAAGGAGCCCCTCTCCTCTTCTATGTGAAGCACTTACACATATATACTCTTGCTTATAGGATATGGCTACCAGGAGAAAGCTTGCTTGTTGGTGGGAAGATTCCTTTTCAGTTGTCTGAAGGAGACCCAGTAATGAATGCCCTTTGGTAAGTTTCTCCAGCACATAGTTAGAGAGCTTCTTGGTGAATTTTACTTTACTGCAGAGGGTAATTCTTACCAAGTTTTCTAGCAAGGCAGTGGACAGCTTCTAACTGAGTTTCACCAATAGCTCAGTGACAGATTTCCTTCCTGACAGTCCTAACCTACAACACCTTAGCATATCGCCCTGCCATTAAGTAAACAGCAGCCTCACCCTCTTGCATGAGCTCTTGGCCTCAGTCTCAAGGGTTGGGATGTGAAGAACTGTCCTCTAATGGGCTGCTTCCTACATGTGCTCTTCTTGTATTCTTTAATGTTCTCTTTACTCAAATGATTAGTGAATCTCTGATTACTAATTATTTTATATTAAAATTTTCCTATTCAGAAAAAGCGTGATTTTGGTTCCTTTAATGTACACTTACTAATATATCTACTAATTATGGCTTGTTAAAATATTGTTATGTCATTTCTAAATGATACTTTGTTGAGAAGACAGGAAGGAAATACCTTTCCTTAAATTTCAAAGGTGTTTTTGGCCTCCAAAAAGTTTGAAAATTACTAGTTATCCATAAGAAAAAAAGTATGCCCAAAACTAAGAAGGAATCAGAGCAAATTGGACTAAAATTGGAATATCTATCTCGAGCTGAGAGATACAACGATAAGTTTTCTGATTGTACAGATGCTTAAGATCGAAATAGTAAAAGATGAACACCCAGAAATTAAGTGAACACTCATAGACAGTGAGACTGACAGTGTGATCTGAGGTTATATTTTAATATAATGGCTTTCTAGTCGGAAACCTACAGATTGGTCTTTTGTTGTCAAGAATAGTATAGCATAATGCAATAGCACTCTAATTATCCCTTTTCTGGATTATTTGCATCATATTTTTGAAATTGAAGAATATTTAAGAAAAATAATGTTACATGATAGCTATTCAAATGATGACGATAATACATCAAACATTTATGACATGAAAAAATTACTGCAACTTAAAAAACAATTCAGTATTTACACAACTGGCAAAATGATTTTGTGTCCTAAGAAATTCTGTGCATTAGAAAACCCACAATTGACAGCAACACCTTTAGTGTAATTGCAATGACTCATAATGATGGCATAAAACTTCATCAGTAAAGCATAACAAATTTTTATTTCTATATATATAGAAACTTTCCAGTAAAACACATATATTTACACACACATATATATATAAACACATCCTCTCAACATATGTATATATGTATATACATATATACATATTTATACATATATATGCACATATATAAGGAAAAAATATATATATATATAGAACTATGTACATGACCGGGATATGTATATGTATACATATGTGTGTGTATATATATATGTGTGTATTTTTCCAGGAAAGTTTCACAAATATTGTATGAATGAAGTGCCTACTCTTGTCTATAGGTATTATTCTGTGAAAGAAGTTTAAGTCATTATGATGTATAATTTTACATATAAAATTATAATATTGATAACCATTTTTTGCCTAAAACTATATATTTAGTTTGGTATTATATAAATCTTGGCAATTATGCATAAAAGAATAGAATAAACCAAAAGAAAAACAAGGCAACTATATTTGTGCATAGAATTATTATTTTATACTTTTCTTTAAAAGTATTAGCTCTGAAGTCAATCTCAAGGCTGTTGGAAATGTAAAAAAGTAACTTTTCTGTAATTATAACTTCAGATTGATAGATGAATATCCATACAGATACAATATATTTCAGAGTTATCAGGAATGATCAATAAATTATGTATGTGTATAATTATGTATATATTTTTTTCTTTTGAAAATGGTAGTAATACAACTGCTACACAATTATACTACCGATCTTTTCACTAATTCCTAACAGATTTGCCTTAGTCTTGCGTTTAATATGCTCTCAGATCATCAGTATTATTATTTAAATTTGCTACTACTGTCTAATAAAAATTACTAAGGAATAAAATATAGAAACTTGCTTCAGAAATGATTAAGACATGTTCAACATTGATTATTTAATAAAGTATATTTTAAATAATAAACATGGTATATCATTTTAAGAATGTTAACTGAAAATACATGTTTACCTCCCCCAAATCTTTGTGAATAATAATTGAAAAATCTATAATAGTATGGAGATGGAGTGCATGTTTGTGTGTTGTGAGGATAATGGTAAAAGAAGTATAAATATTTACATATTTTGGAGAATTTCTCAAAGCACAAAACACACTGGTTCGCACATTGGAAGCCACAGCCTGAAACACATTCCAGAGGAGACAGAAGCCAAGATGATTGTTTGTCCCTATGCTCAAAAGAGGTAGAGAAGGACAGTTGCTTGTGCAAGGAAAAAAAATCATGGTAGGTAATTCACAGGCTGTCTAGAGGAAAAACAGTTCTGCTTTTTATTTTCATCTGAATCTTCTATTATCATCACAGATAAATTTTGTATTCAGAACAAAACACAAAGGAATTATCTGAAAAAATTAAAAAGCTACCTTAGGAAATATGGAATCCTTATGTAGGCAATTATTTATTACTGGAAACATCTCTTCAATCTGCCTCAGAAGTGAGAGGGAAAAAAAAGTCTGCTGTGGGCTCCACGCACATTAAAGTAAATCCAAATACTTGCTTCCCCTACATGCACAAAATTCTTGGTGAGAAATGCCATCAGAAGACAGATTTGTTCAGAGACATGTGTGTTTAGGCATACAGAATAAAATAAAAACCCCGAGCAGCCCTCTACATGAATGAGCCTTCTCTTATCTTCATATATGGTAGGGGTTGACAAGTTTGGTCCCAGCAGACAATCCAGCCCAACACCAGTTTTTGTGTAGCTGGTGAGGTAAGAATACATTTGCAGTTTTAAATAGTTGTAAAAAAATTTAAATACGATTTCACAACATAAAAATATATGAAATTCAAAGCTCAATGTTCATAAACAGAGCTTTTAATTTTTGTTTTAGGAACATGGAGATATTCCCTGGGTTACATCTATGGTTAATGTCATGTTGCAGTGGCAGAGATGAGAGGCGAGTAGTTAAGATAGAGGGAGTAGAATTTGCAAGCAGAAATGATATCGATATGGATATAGATGTAGATATAGACTGACAGATCTATAACTATATTGAATCTATCTATCTATCTATCTATCTATCTATCTATCTATCTATCTATCTATATCTATCTATAATAGCTGGGGCCTATCCCAGCAGTTCAGGGTGCAAGGCAGGAATTTCACCCTGGGAACGCCAACCCATGGCAGGGTGCGCTCACAGACACCTACATTCACTCATATTGGCACAATTTACACATGCCAGTTAACCGAATATGCACAGTTTTGTGATGTGGGAGGAAACTGGAGTACCTGGGAAAGACTCACACATACATGGGGAGAAACAAGAGCTCACATAAACAGTAGCCACTGTATTTGTGTAGAGAGTTCTTATTTGATACACAGTTTTCCTCTTCAGGAACTTATTGTTTCATGCTTCATGGCGTGCACTGCTCTTTCCTGTATTTTCAGTCGCTGTTCTTGGAACAAAATACTATGTTTATTATTTAAAATATATGAAACGATCAATACTGTACATGTCTTAAGCATGTCAGATGACATATCTGACCAAGGGTATTGTGCAGGTGGGAGAAGCAATTATTTGAGTTTACTTTAATGTGCATGGAGCCCACGGTAGACTTCTTTTATTCCATTTCTGAGAAAAATTAAAGAGCTCTTTCCAATCATAAATAATCACCTATCATTAGATAAAGAACTCCATATTCCTTAAAGCAGCTTTTGTAATTTTTCAGATAACTGCTTTGTTTTCGTTCTGAATACAAAAATTATCTATGCTGAGAATAGGAAATTGAGATGATTGAGATTAAAATTAAAAGCAGATTGAAATGCTGCTTTTTAAAAGTAAAAAGCAGATTGAGATGAAAAGAAAAAGCAGAACTCTTTTTCCATATATATCTTTTATTTTTATATGTATTTATTATATATATATTTTATCTTATATTTTATATACAAAAGATATATATTTTATTTTCATTATATATGTATGTTTTCCATATATGTACATATATATGTTTTGCATAAATGTATGTGTATATGTATATTCCACATATATGCATACGTTTTTCCATGTCTATGTTTTCCATATACTTATATATGGATAAACAGTTATGTATGTATGTATATAAACCATATATGTATATGTCAGGTCTTTGACTAGCAACATTTCTTTATAACATTGATGAGAAAAATAAATGATTCCTGATAGGGTCCCCCGTCTATGTGAAGTTCTCACGTTCTCCCCATGTTTGTGTGGGTCTTCTCCAAGTACTCCAGTTTCCTCCCACATCACGAAGCGGTGCGTATTTGGTTAATCGGCATGTGCAAATTGCCCAGTGTGAGTGAATGTGGGTGTCTGTAAGTGCATCCTGCCATGGGATGGCGTTCTGCTAGGGGTTAAATTCCTGCCTTGCATCCTTAGCTGCTGGGATCGACTCCAGCCACCCACGAACCTGAAGTGCAATAATTGGGTATATCATTATCCTGCTTTTTATTAATTTTCCTTAAATGTACATATAGCTCAAATTCATTTTAATGTTTTATATCAGAAGTGTTTTATCTTTTTCTGACAGATATATGCGATAGGAACTTGACTCTTGCTGTTATCAATTAGCCTATAGTAAAGTTGGTTTCGTTATGCATCATTTTGCTTGAAGTCACAATTTCCAAGAATCTATCCATGGCATTAGGTGAGGACTATGCTCTGTGTATATATACACACAATTGAGCCTTGAATGTGGGGGTTAGGGTCACTGACCCCCTGCCCAGTCGAAAATCTGTGTATAACTTTTGACTTCTCCAAAACAACTACTAATAGCCTACTGTTGACTGGAAATATTACCTACAACATAAACAGCTGAATAACAAATATTTTGTGTGTTGTGTATATTATATGCTGTATTTTGTAATAAAGTAAGCTAGAGAAAAAATGTTACTAAGAAAATCACAAGAGAAAATATACTTACTATTGGTCAAGTGGAAGTGTATCATTTTAATAAAGATCTTGATCCTTGTTATCTTCACACTGAGTAGACTGAGGAGGAAGAGGAAAAAGGGGAGTTGCTCTTGTCTTGGGGTGGCAGAGACAGAAGAAGTGGAGGAGGTGGAAGGGGAGGCGGAAGAGGCAGACACACTCAGTGTAACTTTACAGAAATACACGGTAATATCTGCCTGAATTTTTGCTTATTTCTCTAAAAATGCTTGTGTATATTATAGTAGCAATCTTTCTTCCACTGTTTGCTTTAGTTTCAGTGCTTTTATCATAGAAGGGTCCGTGTAGTAAAAAAAAAAAAAAAAAAAAAAAAAAAAAAAAAAAAAAAAAACTGTCAAAAGCAGTCCTGAATAGTTGGAACCCTTTTGACAGACTGTCTAATATCAATTAGTTTTCTGGCACTGCTTCTTCTACCTCTTATTCTCTTCTTCCTCATCATCTGGCCCTGATTTGGAAGCATTCATCTGCATCAAGTCATCACCTGTTAAATCCTCTGTTTTCATTTCCATTAACTTTTGATTTTCTCCAAAATCCTTATCTTGAAAGTCTTGACCACCTGCGTCTTTTTCACTATATCCACAATCTCTTTTATGATTTTCTTGATTGGTTCTGTTGGAAATCCTGGGAAGGGGTGCACAATATCTGTACACAGTTTTCTTCTTCAGGGATTTATTGTCTCATGCTTCATGGCTTTCACTGCTTTTTCTGGAACAATGTTGGCACCTTAAATGTTGTAATCCTTCTAGACTTGCATGGTGTTCTCTGTATCAGGGTTCTCTTCTACAGTTTTGACAGTCATTGCTACAAAGAATTAAGTGTAATGAGTCTTACAGGTTTTTAAGATTCCCTGATTTAGAGGATGAATTAAGGATGTGTGTTTAAGGGCAAGTAGACTATTTTGAAGCCTTCTGTGTTGAACTCATGGGGTTCTGAACGGCCAAGGCTTTGTCCAATATCAAAAGAACTTTAAAAGTAGTCAGTCCCTTACTGAAAAAGTAATTCCTCACTTCAGGGACAAAGCGTCACTGAAAACAATTCAGAAAAAGTTTCTTATTGCCCAGGTCTTCATATTGTACAATAAAAAGGCTAGCAGCTGATGTTTATCTTTTTCCTTCATGGCTCTAGAGTTAGCAGTTTTGTAGATAAGGGCAGTCCTGATTATAATCCCAACTGCATTTGCACAAAACAATAGAGCTCATCTACTAAATGTCTTAAATTCTTGTGCTCACTTCTCTTCCTTCTTAATAAATGTCCTTTGTGGCATTTTTTTTTCCAGAATAGGGCACTTTTGTCTAAATTAAAAACCTATTCAGCAGATATTTCTTCTCCTCAATTATCTTGGGCTTCTGGGAATTCTTCTCCTGCCTCTTCGTCAGTAAAAGCTGCTTTTCCTGCTAATCTTGACATTTTTAAAGCCAAACCTTTTTAAAAATTGTCAAACCATCCTTTACTGGTGTTAAATTATCCAGCTTAATATGCTTTACCTTCCTTTTGCTTTAAGATGTCATATAATGATGTTGCTTTTTAAAAAATTCATTTTAGATTCTGTTAGTACGCCTTTCTTATAGCAATCCTGTACTCACATAAAAGCTGCAATTTTAATATGAGATAAAAAGGTATTTTGCAAAAACTGCAAGGTTTGTGTGCTGGTTGGCACAGCTACAGTGATGGCTTTACATTTTTTTTCTTTCTATAGTGCCTACACTGGGTTCGTTTATCTTGACATGGCCGTCAACTGCAGCTGCAGACCTCAACCTATGGTACGTACCAAGTAATTTAACTTTTTCTTGCAATGCAATGACTTTTATTGGCTTATTGGGAAAACCTCCAGCATCACTAGTGACATTTTATGAGGGTCCCATAATGTTATTTAAGATTTAACTTATTGCACTAAATATGATTTATAACATGGCGAGAACTCTGTGAGATCACTTTTTACTGTGATACACAAATTCACTGGAGAAAAAAGAGATAGCATCACACAGCATTTTAAGTGAATATTTGAAACTTTTGAGCTCATTGCAATAGCAACAAGAGGTGGCTACATAATTATTACAGTATTACAGTCTGTACTACAGTTAATTTTAAGTAGTAATGACTTACTACTTATGTTTGTTTACATTTCTACTGTAAGCAGCGTATGTACAGTATGTGTGCTTTGATAAATATTAACTTTTTATTATAGATTTGGTTATTTTTATGGTAGTACTAATAAAATAGATTTATGGTAGTACCTAATAAAATAGATACTACCTAATAAAATATATATATATATATATATATATATTTTAATTACATATAAGTGGACCCACCCCGTTTGAATCAATTTTGTTCAAGGATCAAAGTATGTATAGTCATGTGCCACACAATGACGTTTTGGATAATGATGGAGTAATATAATATTGTATTTTTCCTGTAATTATTTTATGATTAGATACACAAGTATTTACTATTATATTTGTCTACATTATTGACTACAGTAACATGCTCTACAGCTTTGTAGCTTAGGAGCAATAGGTTGCCCCATATAGCCTAGGTGTGTAGTAGGTTACAACATTTAGGTTTGTAAATATCACTCAATTGAATAAAAATATAACATTATACTAAAGTCATTCATTTAGTCTTCAGCTAGGTGAATGTAATATGGAAAGTGCACAGGAAAACATATCCAAAATAAATTACACAACTTCACTAATAAATAATTCTAAAAATTTGCGTGGTATGTACAATAGCTTTAAAATTTTTATCTTGGCTGGGGCATGGTGTCTCACGCCTGTAATCCCAGCACTTTGGGAGGCCGAGGCAGGCAGATCACAAGGTCAGGAGTTCGAGACCAGCCTGCCCAATATAGTGAAACCCTGTCTCTCCTAAAAAATACCAAAAAATTAGCTGGGTGTGATGCCGCATGCCTGTAATCCCAGCTACTCGGGAGGCTGAGGCAGGAGAATCGCTTGAACCTGGGAGGCACAGGTTACAGTGAGCCGAGACCACGCCACTGCACTCCAGCCTGTGCAACAGAGCAAGACTCCATCTCAAAATAAAAACCACAAACAAAAACAAAAAACAAACAAACAAGAAACAAATTATCTTAATAAGATCAGCCTTATGAGCAATACTGAACACTAAAATAAAATGTAGCAGAGCCTTTTTGAAGGCAGGTTGTTTGTGCTCAGGTTTCTTATTGAAATACCAAATAAAAAGTTTAAACTAATAGACAACATAAAAATATCACTGAGAAAATCAAGGACTCAGAGAGTTTTCCTGTTGTTCATCACTTGTGTAAAGAATATGTACAACTTTCTAAAGATTATTTGAAAGAAACAGAGAAATAATATAGGCTCCTCAGCTGGAATATACAGTAAACATCTGTGCAACAACAGATTTGTATTACAAGAGGAATTCACAGGGTTATCAATACATTTTCTCACCAAAAATATTTTTTTGAAAATGAATGATTAGGAGGACAAAAATTATATTGTTTTGGGAAAGTAGGCATATATTTTCTCTGTTAGAGAAAAACACAGGTGTTGAAAATTTTGCAGACTTTGTGTTTGCACGTGTAGCATGTGTTTGCATGCTAAACAAAATTCATCTTATAAAAGCTCATTTCAAATACAAAAGCAAATTAAATGCAAATCAAAGCCACAGTGAGATACTGTCTCACACCAGTCAGAATGGTGATTATTAAAAAGTCAAGAAACAATAGATGCTGATGAGGCTGTGGGGAAATAGAAACGCTTTTACACTGTTGGTGGTAATGTAAATTGGAAGACAACGTGGAGATTCCTCAAGGATCTAGAATCAGAAATACCATTTGACCCAGCAATTGCATTACTGGGTATATACCTAAAGGAATATAAATCATTCTACTACAAAGACACATGGACACATATGTTTATTGCAGCACTATTTACAATAGCAAAGACACGGAACCAACCCAAATTCTCATCAACAGTGGACTGGATAAAGAAAATGTAGTACCTGTACACCATGGAATACTATGCAACCATAAAAAGAAATGAGATTATGTCCTTTGCAGGGGCATGGATGAAGTTGGAAGCCATCATCCTCAGCAAACTAACACAGGAATAGAACACCAAACGCCGCATATTCTCACTCATAATTGCGAGTTGAACAATGAGAACACATGGACATGATGGGGAGAAACACACACCAGGGCCAGTCAGGGGATAAGGGCTGAGGGGGGAGAGAGCATTAGGACAAATAGCTAATGAATGTGGGGCTTAAAACCTGTATGGTGGGTTGATAGGTGCAGCAATCCACTATGGCACATGTATACCTGTTTAACAAGCCTACACGTCCTGCACTTGTATCCCAGAACTTAAAGTAAAATAAATAAATATTTTTTAAAAAAAGTAAACTAATACAAAATATTTAAATAACTGTTATGATTTACAAAAAGAAAACTGAGTTGACATTGCTTTCTAGAACAATTTCCTTAGAGGAACAGAGATCTAAGGTGCATATGACTGATTTTCTTTTCTGTGGGTCTAACATATAAGTGATTAATACAGCTTATTTAGTGTATTTTAATTGACCTATCAGATAAAGAAAACATGCACTCATACACACATAGTACATGAATTAATCAAGCTATAAGTCAAAAGCATATGCTCTGTATTCAAGAGCTTGAAGGCTTGAAATCTAAATTTATACTTTATAGGCTAAGCAACCTAAATCTGCAAGTTTCTACTTTATGATTAAATGATACTACAGACAAAAATAGTGACATAAAACTTATATCACGATTGTTATTAAGATTATTTACCTTCTCAATCAACCTACAGAAAAAAAATTGAAGAGAAATGCACTTAATGAACAGATTCTAAAAATTAAAAACCTTGGCAATGTTAAAGTAGCCATAGAGTTATATAAGTTGAAAGACAAAAGGAGAGCCAAAGGTGGTTGATGCAATATAAAGGATTTTGTTTTCTTATTTCACATAAATGATAAATGATTGCTTTCAAAGTGGATAGTAAAAAATTTAGTTTTAAGGTTAGTGTTTTAAAATTGAAAGTTCACAAATAGAAGGGGCAGTTGACCAAAGCAGGTGATCGAGAATATATTCAAGTCCATCTTTGGTACCAAAGCAAAAACTCTGGGTTAATTAAGGTGTGATTGATTAGAAGACTATTGACTAAGTACACTTGGACAAGTACACTTGGATGAATCCTTTGAAAGAGAACAATGCTCACGATATTTTAAAATATGGTCAATTCAATAGGCTTACTAAAATTTTCCGTATTATCAGGCTAAATCTAACAAAAATTGGTAACTGAGAGAAATAAACAGGACGTTGCAGAGGGCTTGACTATAAGATAATTGCAGAATTAAAAAAAGGGATTTGTATTTCAATCAGTTTATGGAATTTGGGATTCAAAAATAAAACCCGAGTTTCAACCTTGTATGAGTTGAATAAGAGAATTTACCTCTATAAAACTATAGATACATTAAGGGTGAACATAAAATAATATGATGTAAAATAACCTCACCCATATTCTTGGAAATTTAAGGGAAATCACTCACCTTAGCCTTGATCAGAAATTAGAAGGGAAAAGAGCAAAACCTCATTTCTGAAAAATTTTAATCATAGACCACTCTTTACATAGATGTATAGCGGTCCAAAATTATTAAACAAAAAATGAGGAGAAATTGATTCTTGGGAAAGGCATTAGTTAATCATTATATGTAATGATGAGTTTTTTGTGGAGGCCGTTACATCTTGTCAAACTCAAATTAATATCACAAATAAGTTTCCAATTAAATTTAACAACTCAGGATAAGAATTTATTAAGCACACGAGAAAATAAGCTGTCATAAGTAAAAAACCAGCAGAATGAGTGCTGCTGGGTTTCATTTTATATTCTCAAAGGCCAATTATTTACTTTAGTTATTGGTCTTTGAAAATACAAAATGAAAAATAAGTGTAATTACTATTTTCAAAAATAAAAAATACATGTTTTTAAACACAGAATAAAGAGAATATATATTGACTCATTAGTCAGACTTGAGAAATGAGCTATTAGAACTTTCAGAAATAAAATATTCAATAATTGAAATGGGAAATCAATACACAGGCTTCATGGCAGTTTAACTATAGCTGATGAGAGAATTAATAAACTGGGAGATATATTTGAAGAAATGTTTCCAAATGGAACACTGATATCAAAGAAATGGAAAATATGAAGCAGAAGCTAAAGATATGGAGGGATAATGTGTAATGTATGTAATATAAACCTAACTGGAGTTCTCAAAAGGAAGAATATAACAAACGGACACAGTCCTAATTGTCAAATTAACATTGGAAACATTTTCAGAAATGGTGAGACAACAATCAAAACATTCAAATTATACAATAACAAAACATTCAGGTTATACAACAAAAAATTAAGATATGCAAAAAGAAATCCAAGAGTTGATTTTAATATCTATGTTTATTAACATTAAGTTAATGTTAAGTATTTTAATATTTATATTTATTTTATATACCTATAGGTGTTATATTTAATATCTTTGTTCATATTATATTTAAGCTGTATTTTATCTTATATATTTACTTTGTAATGCTGTATTTGTTTTTCATATTTGGCTCATTTGTTTATAACTTACCTATTATTTATGTTTTATTTACAATATATTGTATATATGCCATAATTTATAATAATATAGTAATTATTTTATAATTATATGCATATATTATGTTATATTACCTATCTGAATTTTTAATTATATAATATATTATATACTAATTTCATGTAAATTTACCATCTATATTTAATATCTATATTTATAATGTATATATTTAATATCTATGTTTCTTTACATTATTTGAATGCGAACATAAACATTTGGTATTTGGAATACAACAGATAATTTTTGACTTTTAGCAGAAAATCATGCTGATTCCTCATGTTTAGTATTCACCTTCAGGGGTGAATATGAGAGCCAGGTGAGATGTCACCTTGTAGACACTGGAGTTTGTAAGATAGTCCAGGAGTCAACAAAATCTGAATCTGGGTGTTAACGTAAGAGAGAGAGAGAGACCTGTGCACCCCAACCCCAACCCTCTTGATAAATGGAGAGAAACGTTTTGATTTCTCTTAAAACAAATTCCCCTTCAGAATAGAAAGGGAAAACATTTAGGGACCTTAACATTTGCAATGTAAATACACATCTCCTAGCAGAAGATAAGACCAGTGTCTCTAGCCTTACAATCTACAGACATCTTTGTGGTCCCAATTTCCAATCACCCTTGAAATGTGAATACACACATTGAGGGAAATAAATGTCTCTGGAATTCTGATTATCTTTTCTGTCATTTTTATTTTCTGCAAGATCTTCTCAGAAAGTCCTGACTACACAGAAATGTAGAAACATTCAGAAATAGTTTTATAAGGCAAAAAGCAAAATTAAGAAAATAAATAAATAGGTAAAGAGAAAGAGAGGAAGGGAGGAATATATTCAGAGTCAGAATATAAAATGTTGTTGGACTTCTCAACAACAGACACCAGGAATGATCAACACCATGTACTCAAAATGCAGAGAAAATATACTTTTCAACCAGAAATATTAGTTTTCAAAAATAAAATTGAGTAGGACCAAAGAAGTTAAAGTATAGCATTTTCCACTGGAAACAATTATTAAAAATAAATCTAAAGGATGTTTTTAAGGCAGAAAGAAAATAATTCTGGATGTAAATTTTGATATGTATGAAATAATGAAGAGAAAAATAAAAAAGATAAATAGACATACTATTGAGAGGAGTTAAATTGATATATATATATATATATATATAAACATATAAGCTTTATCCTTCAAGAAGTATGAGTTAAAAAGCGACTGAGTTCTATATAAAGTTTTCACAAAACTTTATAGTGTTAAAGTTTTACACTATCAGCTCTCAGAAAGCAGCACTGACAGGAAAAGGAAATCTATGTCTGCAATGTATGTATTGATTCCAGTCAAGATAATTCACTCTTCCTTGTGAATTCACTGCTTCCTTGTGCTGGAAAGCATTTGACACAATCAACTCGCCAGCAACACTAGATTCTCTCTTCAAGAGTTTTTTCCATGGTTGGCAAGTTGGACTTTGGCAGTCCCAGTGGATAGATCCACCTTGGTGAAAAAAAATCTATGCTATTGTAACCACTCATAGCTTCAAATCTCTGTCATCAGCTACTTAATTCATCTAGGGTAATGAATATAAGATGACTGAAACTGACTGATATAAACTGGCTGAGTCATTCATTCTACTTTGTTGTTTAGTACCTCTTCCGTGGTAGGTAATCCATGATGTAAGTTCACATGAAATACAAAGTTCTCTCACTTTGCACCCACTCTGTTAAGTCCACTCACAAACTTTTTTTTTCTTACACGCCCCCTTATGCCTTAGCTTTTCATCTTTGTCTTTACTAGCTTCTTTTTTTTTTTTTTTTTTTTTTGAGACGGAGTCTTACTCTGTCACCCGGGCTGGAGTGCAGTGGTGCCATCTTGGCTCACTGCAAGCTCCGTCTCCCGGGTTCATGCCATTCTCCTGCCTCTGCCTCCTGAGTAGCTGGGACTACAGGTGCCCGCCACCATGCCCAGCTCATTTTTTGTATTTTTAGTAGAGACGGGGTTTCACCGTGTTAGCCAGGAAGGTCTCGATCTCCTGACCTCGTGATCCGCCCGCCTTGGCCTCCCAAAGTGCTGGGAATACAGGCGTGAGCCACCGCGTCTGGCTGTCCTTGATAGCTTCTAACCAACCATCCAAGCTATTTGTGGCTACCCTTGACTCTATGTGTATTCTAACCATAAGCCAGCTCTTTTTCTACTTGGAATGAATGAATACAGGTACACTCAAAGCTCTGGCCACTGGGGTAATTTTGCCTAACTCCTTTGTTTTGTATTATTACAGCCTCACTATACCTCTGAGCAAGTCTATAGTGCAATACAATTGCAAATTCAGCACAAACTGTGCTGACTCATCAGAGAATCCCACCCCTCCTCTTTCAGCTCATTATAAGAAAATACCACATGCTAGTAGATGTGAGCAGTAGAGGGACATCATTGTAACAATTTCGGGATGGCATGTTGTTGGGCACCAGTTCATGCAGCTTATTTGTGCCCTCTGGACCTGCTTGTGCCTAATACTGAATTTTCCACATTAATATTACAGTGGATTTCTGTTACACCAGCACATTATGGCATTGCTTCGTGATTGGCAGTGCTAGCTATATGATCACTTGTGGTTTCATGATTCAGTATCTACCAAGGCCCAGTAACTCTCTGGAAGCTCCTTTTCCAACATTATTCCAGACCCAAGAAATGTGAATAACCCCTTGGGATTTTCCATAAGTACCACCATAATGTCTGGTCCCACCACAGATAGCCTGGTACCAAAGAGCCAACTGCATTACATGGTCCAAGTGTATGACTGCTTGCATGGCTGTTTGGATGTGTTGCAGTGGCCTTTACTGTTTACGAGCTTTTCATAGGATTTATCTTCCACTTTCTTTACCATGGGTCCTAATAAAACCTTCAATGTAATTTTACTTTTTGCACATATGTTCTTATTTATATGATGCTGTCAATATAATGGGCCAAGGATATCAAAGTAGACATTGTCTCTTCAGAATGTTATAATACAGGGCAGGAGAATCACCACAGTTCTTGAATAAGGACAAAATGGTATTCTAATTTTAAAATTGTATTTGAATTCAGAATTGTATTGTAGCTCTGTGTAAATGTGAGTTACTTTTGAGGCTCCTTTTTGACATGGATATAAAAGACCTTCCTGGTGTGAAAGAACATACATGCCAAATCAACAGCCATATATTATGTGCACAAAATTGTGTTACTCTCTTTTGAGAGAAAAAAAAAATCCTGTCGAGAACTGAAATTGAGGCTATTACTTGGTTGAGTGTATAACAGTCAAAGACTATCTGCCATGTCTATTTTCTCAAAGGTCAAAAATAATGAATTAATGTGTAATATCATAGGAACCATCACCTCAGCATGCTCTAAATCTTAAGGTGACACTGAACTAGGCCATTCCCCTGAGATCTGATATTATTTTAGATTGAGCATCTTTTCTGGGTTTCAGGGGGTGGCTATGTTAGAGATTTTTAGTTTAAATTTTCTCTTAATAATCAAATAGGACAATTCTAATTATATGTCCCAAGAATTAATCTATTGTAGAGTGGACCCACCATGAGAAGAATCTGGTTCTGCTATTCCCTTATGACAGAGCCCCTATTTGTCCTCAATCAACTGAAGAGGAGAATATAATGGGATAATTCTGTGGCTCCCTGGGAATAAACATAGGGTGAACGATGTTTTCAATAGCCCTTTAAATGTGTGAAAATGTCCTTTACCATTGTTTTAATAAATGGCTGTGGATGTCTTTGAGAAAGAACTTGGGAAATAATTGCCAGATATTACCATGGTTGCTCCCGAGTCTTTCGTCATAGGAATCGGGTTTTTCCTTTACTCAACAAGCTGTGGGTCTGAAAACTGGCTAAGGTCAAGAAATCAGGCTAAGAAGCATTGCATTTCATCAGGGTGTCTGTTCTCAGATTCCTGACAATCCATCCTTGATTTCTGTTGGCTGCTTAACTTGAGAAATACAATTGCTGGCTGTCGATTTTGCTTGTCCCTAAATATTACATATTCCAATAACCATCTTCAAAGCTCTTTGTTGAACAACCTTGTTCTCTTTGTGGAACAGGCTGCCACTCTGACTTTGTTGCTCACTTCTATTTTTGAACTTATTTTGCTTTTTATGGTTAAACCTTATCTCTTAACCTCCATGAATTTGAGATTATATCATCACCAAGTGCTCGAATATACCCCAGTTATAAAACTATCTCTTCCTTAGCCCTAGTCTACAGATGACAATTATCTTTGAACTTCTCAACAATGCTAATGCCCACGCCCCACCAGCGTGTTCTTTTTCAGTTAGTTAAAAACGTGTTCTCCAGGTTCTCCTCCTGAATGTATTGCTGATGCATGTTCTGGCCGGATATGATACATTCAATGTAGGATGTCTACTTCTCTAAGCCTGTTGTTTACCCCCTTTATCGTCTGCCGTGACTGGTCACAAATGCCATGTCAGGCATTTCTATTTTTCTTAGTGGGGGCCATTGCTTTTCCATGTTTCCAAGATCCAAATAATAATAGCACATTAATTCTTATCTGGAGTTTACTTTACGTATCTTGGGCCAGTGACCACCTTTTGAAAAGTACTCCATTTTAAGATTATATCCCATCTCATGTGATCTCTTTGGATTCTTATGATACTGATACTCTCTTGTTCCCTGTACACAAGGTTCTGCAGCACCATTTAATAGAGTTCCTTTCCTTCTGTGCAAACCCAGGATAACTCTGACATGCTACATTGTGACTTGACCTTGGTTATTGTTCTGGCAGCAGTGGAAGAGGTGTTATGGAGGATCCTGAGAGCCTGTATTGGACTTCAAGGTGAAGGCATTGTCCAATTGGGAATATAAGAAGCATTTCTACAGCCAAGAGGGTATAGGAGGAACACGGTTTCTATACCAAGACTCAGGTCCCATTTTTTTTATCCTCTTTTATTTTTTAATTTTTGTTTTATGTTTGAGGGGTACATATGCAGGCTTATTACTTGGGTATATTGCGTGATGCCATGGTTTGGGGATACAAATGATTCTGTCATCCAGGTAGTGAGCATGGTACCCAATAGTTTTTCAACACTTGCCCCCACTCCTTTCCTTCTCCCTTAGTATCCCCAATTTCTATTGTTCCCATCTTTATGTCCATGACTACCCATTGTTTAGCTCACACTTATAAGTGAAAACATGTGATATTTTGTTTTCTGTTTCTGCATTAATTTCCTTAGGAAAATGGCCTTCAGTTTTATCTATGTTTCTGCAAAAGGCTTGATTTCATGTTTTTATGGCTGTGTTGTATTTCATGGGGTGAGTATATGTACATTTTCTTTATCCAGTCCACAGATGGGCACCTGGTTTGGTTCCATGTCTTTGCTGTTGCAAATAGTGCTACAATGAACATGTGAGTATATGTATCTTTTTGTTAGAAGGATTTGTTTTCTTTTAGATGTATAGCCGGTAATGGGATTCCTGGGATAAATAGTAGCTCTGTTTTAAGTTCTTTGAGAAATCTCCAAATTGCTTTCCACAACAGCTGAACTAATTTATTATACATTCTCGCTAACAATGTATAAGTGTTCCCTTTACTCTACAGTCTCACAATCATCTGTTGTTTTTGACTTTTTAATAATAGCAATTCTGATTGGTGTGAGGTGGTGTCTTACTGTGGTTTTCATTTCCATTCCTCTGATGATTAGTAATGCCCAGCATTTTTTATATGTTGCCTGCTTGTATGTCTTCTTTTGAGAAGTATCCATTCATGTCTTTGGCCCATTTTTTAATGGGGTTGTTTTTGTTTGTGTAATTGGTCAAGTTCCTTATACATGCTGGATATTGGATTTTGTTGGATGCATAGTTGGCAAATATATCCTCCCATTCTGTAGGTTGCCTCTTTACTCTGTTGATAGTTTCTTTTGCTTGGCAGAGCTAGTTTAATTCTTATTTTTGTTGCAGTTGTATTTCAGAACTTAGTCACAAATTCTCTCCTAAAGCTGATGTCCAGAATAGTGTTTCCCAGGTTTTCTTCTAGGATTCTATAGTTTGAGGTCTTACATTTAAGTCTTTGATCTGCCTTGAGTCAATCTGGTGTATAGTGAAAGGGAGGGGTCCAGTTTCACTCTTTTGCATATAGCTAACCAGCTAGCAAGCTATCTCACCACCATTTGTTGAATAGGGAGTCCTTTCCTTATAGCTTATTTTTATTGACTTTGCCAAAGATAAGATGGCTTTAGGTGTATGGCTTTATTCTGGTTTCTCTATTCTGTTTCATTGAACTATGTGTTGGCTTTTGTACCAGTGCTATGCTGTTTTGGTTATTGTAGCCTTATAGCATAGTTTGAAGTCAGGTAATGTGATACCTCCAGTTATGTTCTTTTTGCTAAGATAGTTTGGCTATTTGGGCTCTTTTTTGCTTCAATATGAATTTTATAATATATTTTCTAATTCTGTGAAAAATGTTATTGGTAGTTGAATAGGAATAACATTGAATCTGTATATAGCTTTGGGAAATATGACCATTGCAATTATATTGACTCTTCCAATCCTGAGCATGGAATTTTTTTCTACTTGTTTGTTTCATCTGTGATTTCTTTTAACAGTGTTTTGTAGATTTCTCTGTAGAGATTTTTCACTTCCTTGGTTAGATTTATTCCTAAGTGTTTTATTTTAATTGTGGCAGTTGTAAATGAGATTGCATTCCTGATTTGGCTCTCTACTTGAATGTTATTGGTGTGTAGAAATGTTACTGATTACCGTATATTGGTTTTGTATTCTGAAACTTTATTGCAGTTGTTAATCAGTCCCAGGAGCTTTTGGCAGAGTCCATAGGGTGTCATAGGTATAGAATCATATCATCAGCAAAGGGAGATAGCTTGGCATCTTCTTTTCTTATTTGAATGTTTTTATTTCTTTCTCTCGCCTGATAGCTCTGGCTAGCACTTCCAATCCTGCGTTGAAGAAGGGTGGTGAGAGTGGGCATCCTTGTCTTGTTGCAGTTTTCAAGGAGAATGCTTCCAGTTTTTTTCCATTCCGTACAATGTTGGCTATGGCTCGTATTTTTTTGAAGTATAGATGGTTCGTATTATTTTGAAGTATGTTCCCTTGATGATTATTTTCTTGAGGTTCTTATCATGAAGGAGTATTCAATTTTATTGAAAACTTTTTCTGCATCTATTTAGATGATCATGTGGATTTTGTTTTTAATTTTGTTCATGAAATGAGTCACATTTATTGATTTGCATATGTTAAGATAACCTCACATCCCAGCAATGAAGCTTACTTGATTGTGACAAATTAACTTTTTGATGTGTTGTTGGATTCAGTTTGTTAATATTTTGTTGAGGATATTTGTTTCTATGTTCATCAGGGATATTTACCTTTAAATTTTTTGTTGTTGTTGTGTCTTTGCCAAGTTTTAGTATTAAGGTGATGCTGGCTTCATATAATGAGTTTGGGAGGAGTCCCTTCTCCTTGATGTTATGAAATAATTTCAGTAGAATTGGTACCAGCTATACAAAGTATAGCTGGTACATTTTGATGGTGAATCCATCTGGTCTGGGGCTTTTTTTGATTGGTTGATTTTTTATTACTGTTTCAATTTTAGAACTCAATATTGGTCTGTTCATGATTTCAGTTTCTTCCTAATTCAATAATAGAGACTATGTGTTTCCAGGAATTTATCCATTTTTTCTAGATTTTGTAGTTTGTGTGATAAAGCTATTCATAGTAGTCACTGAGGATCTTTTGTATTTCTGTGGGATCAGTTGTAATGACACTTACGTCATTTCTGATTGTGCTTACTTGGTTATTCTCTTTTACTTGTTAATCTGACTAGTGGTCAATTGATTTTGTGTATCTTTTAAAAGAAGCATGTTTTGGTTCCATTGATTCTTTTTATGGATTTCTGGGTCTCAGTATCATTTAATTCTACTCTGATTTTTGTTATCTCTTTTCTTCTGCTAGCTTTGCAGTTAATTTGTTCTGGTTTTTTTAGTCCCTCTAGGTGTGATGTTAAATCATTTATTTGAGATCTTTGTAACCGTTTAAGGTAGGTGTTTAGCACTATGAACTTTTTTCTAACACTGTTTTTGCTGGATCCCAGCTGGTATGCTGTGACTGTGTTTTCATTTATTTCAAATAATTGTTTTATTTTTGTATTAATTTCATTGTTAGCACAAAAGTCATTCAGGAGAAAGTTGTTTAATTTCCATATAGTTGTGAGATGTAATGGTTTTGAAAGATCTTGGTATTGATGTCTATGTTTATTCCACTGTTGCACAAAAGTATGGTTGGTATGATTGCAACTTTTTTTACTTTACTGAGACTTGCTTGTGGCGATCTTGGAGTATGTTCCCTGTGCAGACAGGAAGAATGTATATTCTGTGTTTGATGGGTGGAGCATCCTCCAGATGTCTTTTAGGTCTTATTGGCCAAGTGCTGAGTTTAAGTCCAGTATTTGTAAGTTTTCTTCCTTGATGATCTGTTTAATGCTGACCTTGGGATTTGAGGTCTGTGAATATTATTACATGGCTGTCTAAGATTTTTTGTAAGTCTAGAAGTGTTAGTTTCACAAATTTGGGTTCCCCAATGTTGAGTGCATATATATTTATGACAGTTAAGCCTTCTTGTTGAACTGAAGTTTTTATGATTATGTAATGCCCTTTTTCGTCCTTTTTTAATGTTGTTAAAGTCTGTTTTATCTGATATCTGAATAGTGACCACTGCTCTTTTTTGTTTTCCATTTGTGTGGTAGATCTTTCTTGAACCCTTTACTTTAAGCCTATTGGTGTTTTTACAAGTGAGATGGGTCTCCTGAAGATAGAAGATAGTTGCGTCTTATTTTTTAAATCCAACTTGCACCTACGTGCCTTTTAAGTGGGTTGTTTCCACCATTTACATTCAAGGTTAACATTGATATGTGAGGTTTTGATTAGATTGTGAAGATGTTAGCTGGTTGCTTTGTAGTTTCTATTGTGTGGTTGCTTTATAGGGTCTGTGGACTATATATTTCAGTGTGTTTTTGTGGTAGCAGGTATTGTTCTTTTGTTTCCATGTTTAGAACTCCCTTAAGGATCTCTTATAAGGTTTGCCTAGTGGTAATTCATTTCCTTAGCACTTATTTTTCTGGAAAAAATTATAATTTATCTTTCTTTTATAAAGTTTAGTTTTGTGTGATATAAAATTATTACTCGGAATTTCTTTTCTGTAAGAATGCTAAAAATACTTCCCCAATATCTCTTGGCTTGTAAAGTGTCTACTGAGAAGTGTGCCATTAGCGTGATAAGAATTTGACCTTTTTCCTCTAGCTGAGTTTAAGATATTTTCTTTTGGCCAGGCACAGTGGCTTACGCCTATAACCCCAGAACTTTGGGATGCTGAGGTGGGCGGATCGCCTGAGGTCAGCAGTTCCAGACCAGCCTGCCCAACATGGAGAAACCCTGTCTCTACTAAAAATACAAAAAATTAGCTGGGTGTGGTGGCGGGCACCTGTAATCCCAGCTACTCAGGAGGCTGAGGCAGGAGAATCGCTTGATTCTTCTGAACCCAGGATGCGCTTGAACCCAGATCCGCTTGAACCCAGGATGCGAAGGTTGCAGTGAGCCAGGATTGCTCCACTGCACTCCAACCTGGGTGATAAGACTGAAACTCCGTCTCAAAGAAAAAAAAAAAAAGATACTTTCTTTGGACAGTCTAGTGACTCTATGCCTTGGTGATGTTTATTTTGAATAGTATCTCACAGGTGTTCTCTGAATTTCTTCCATCTGGATATCTACCTCTCTGACAAGATTGGGGAAATTTTCTTGGATTATTCTCTCAACTATGATTTCCAGGTTGTTTACTTTTTCTTCTCTCTGAGAAATGCCAATAATTTATATTTAGTTTTTCTTTACATAATTCCATATTTCTTGAAGATTTTGTTCATATTTTTAAATTACTTTTTCTATTTTTGTCTGACTAGGTTAGTTCTACAGATTAGTCTTCAAGCTCTGAAATTACTTCTTCTGTTTGGTCTGGCCTATTGAAAAAGCTTTCAATTGTATTCTGAAATTCCTTAACTGAGTTTTTGAATTCGAGAAGCTCTGATTAATTTCTTTTTAATATGTGTATCTCTTCCTTCATTTCCTGGATTGCTTTAAAAGTTTTGTTGTGTTACTTTTCAGCCTTGTCTCGGTTCTTGTTGACCTTGCTTGCAATCCATGCTTTAAATTATTTATCTGTCATTTCTGAGTTTAAATTTGCTTAGGGGCCATTTCTGGTAAGCTAATGTGGTCTTTTCATGCTATCACTACATTCTGATTTTTCATAGTGCAAGAATTCTTGCATTCGTTTTATCTCATCTGAAGATACTTGCACTTCTAATTTTTCTAATTATTTTCACATAGGTACAATTTTTTTTGTTTTTATTTTCTTATAGTACTATTTTTATTTTTTCTTTTCCTTTCCTTTTTCTCCCTTCCCTAAGGGGAGCAAATGTAGAGAATGGTGGGTAGGTTATTTTGACCTTGTCTCTGTAGATCTAGGCACTTCTATCAGCAGGTTTTATATTGGGCTATGCAGTTCAACCTATAAGCTAGTAGATGGCACTTATAGGTATAAGCCAGCTGCAACAAACACAGCTGTGTACATATTTGATCTTTGTTTGCTGGCAGAGGCTCTTTGTTTCCTCAGACAATGAGCTGATTCATGGAGTGCACAGTGGCCTGGGCTCCCTCTTAGGCCCCGGTGGGGAGAGCACAAGTGAGAGAGGTGGGAATTGACCAGGCAGATCTGCCTACAGGTTTCCTGAGGGCCAGCACAAGCACTAGCACTAAGGGAGAATACAATGGGCAGTCCACCAAGTGCTCAGAGGTGTGCCTAGGTGTGAAGCTGGGAATCTCTCTTGGCCCTACATTCTCTGCACAGGGAAGTGGAGGAGGCTAAAATCCTAATCCAAGAGAGTGGGTATTCCATATGCCTGGAGATTTGCCTCAGTGTGGAGCAGAAAGGGGAGCTCTATATCGAGATCTCTGCACAGGAATGGTGGGGTAACTCAGGCTGCTCAACCGGGCAAGCAAGTGCTCTGAATGCCTGGAAATCTTCTGTGCCTTTTTAAATTTTAATCGAGAGCCCTTACCTACAAAAACAATTCAACTTTCACTTATACTCTCCTACCCATGTGGTTAATCCCTAGATCTTAAACTCAGTTTATTTGCATTTCCTTGTGGCTAATCGAGATCATAATTATATTAAATGTGTCAAAGGAAACCCTGTGACTTTCCCATTTGGTTTTAATCATTTGTAACCATTTAGTCGTTTCTGCTACATGTTATATTCAACAGTACTCAGCAACAACCCACAAATGCTATTATCCTTATAAACACTACTTCCCTGAATAAACATATTAAAAATAAATCATAATAAATATATAGAACATATAAAGACATTTTCATATATTTTACTATAAAATATTAAAAACATGTTTAACATAAACATTAAATTTTAAATTTTATTTAGTTTTAAATTAAATAAACAAATTAAAAAGATAAACATTAAAAAGAAATCAATCAGAGCTTCTGAAATTGAAAAACTCACTTAAAGAATTTCCAAATACAGTTGAAAGCTTTTACAGTGCTTAGTTATTTCACCTGTGACAGCTTTATATTGTGTCAACTTGGTTAGGCTAAAGTATGCTTCCCAGAACTCCCTTTCCTTTAAGCTTCTGGTTAGAGTGGTCCACAGATATATTTTTCAGTGAGATTTCAGAGGAAGACTTGAAACAGAATATTTTTGTTGTTTTTGTCGTTGCTGTTGCTTTCTTTGCTTTCAGAAATGCAGTGGAAGTGCCTTTGTAACTCACACGTCACGTATCTGCTGGCTTACTTTTATTGGCATGGAACAGCAGCCATGAGTATAAATTCTCCATTTCACCCACATTCCTCCTTCAACTTAACTGACTCCTGAGCCAGATTTCTCTACAATTTCATGACATAGGTTGTCAGTTTCTCCTCTAGGAAAGTTATTTCACAAAGAACATAAGTAGAGGCAGCTGGCATGTGTTCTCCTGAGTTCCTGCTCTTACTTATCTTTTTTTAAGGGCCTGACCTGTGGACTTAAAGTTCCTTGTCAACTATAAAAACAACAGCTTTCATATACAATTGGGTGAGATCAAATCCCAGTAGCACCTTTACTATGTATACCTCCTACTGGTTCTTCCCTGGTTAAATCCTGACTGATAAAGCCTCCACCGGTGTAATATATCATTCTAGTTTACCACATTAATTATTTCAACAGAGTCATTGCTGTAAAATGTCACAGTTTGTTGGTAATGAGATCCTAATTCCCATTTCATTATCAGCATATCCAGCCACAAAATCCTATCATGGAATCTGGTTCATCATACCACTCATAGCACATGCTTTCTGATGAGCTTTCCTCAGAAATAATCTTTAATACAGACAATTGCCTATAGGAATTGTATTAATGAGTGCTTTCAAGGAAAATCACTGCAGTGGAATGAAGGAATCAGAACTGGGCAGAGTAAAAAAGTTTATATAGAGTGAGATTGCAACACAAGTCACAGTTCATCCCACAGGGAGATCTGGAGCTGGGACAGATCTTCAGATTATCAAGAATGGTGAAGAGTCTGAGATTTTACTGTATTTGCAAGCTAACAAGTTATTCCCTTACAGTTTTATTGAGGCTGGCAGAGACATGAGACTCCTTGGTCAGAGAACAAGCATTTTGCTATTCACAATGAACGTTATGAGCACTGGAATACTTGTGTCAGTTTTCCTTGCCAAGTTCCATGGGGCAATGCATTAGAAAAAGATGGATGGCTGCATATGAAGTAAGTTGAACTTAAGGAAATAAAATCTTATATACTGGCAATAAATATGCCTGTACATTGCTAGTGAAGGAGATACTATCTCTATCTTCCAAGACTTTAAATAAACCTTCCCTTTTTTCACAGAAAATTGTCCTATCTCTATCTTCCAAGTTAGTTCAATGTGCACATATCTTTAGCTAGTTAATGCCTCTGTTTGCAAGATGTGCAAATGAGATGGACTGCCATGAGGAATTGTCTCACCAAAAAGAGTTCTCATAGATGAGAAAAGGGGCTGGCCTTCGAAACCTTTTAATAACTAATCATTAGATACACACTGCCCTTTCAGCTGATTGAAATATCCGAGAGATACTCGACTGTGAGTCATTGACAGCTAACAGTTCTCTTGGCTAGGGGAATAGTAATTTGGTCTGGGAGCTGGGAGTCTTGTGTATTATCCTACAGCATGGACTACATGATGAGAACATGTCATTCTACAAACTATTATCATTTTGCCTTATCTTGTTAATTCATTAACCAAAGACCACACAGATATGTATCATCATATATCATCTGATGTTCCCTTTTATCTTTTTAATTTTATCCCTTTTATCTTCATTTTATCCTACTCACAGTTTGAATGCATGCCATTTAATTTGTAGATAGTTCTATTCTAGTGCATCTTCTTAGAATAGTTATTCTAGAATAGTTATTCTATTCTAGTGTGTCTTTTTATTTTGATAGTATGCAAGTTGTTAGAATAAACATTCTTTTCCTTGCTGCATCAAATAAACAGATGGCTGTTTTGAAACTGTGAAATATGAGCATAATTAAATAAATTCAGAGACAATCACGCGTTTACTTTTAGTTTCTAACATAGCTTTATCTATGCCTACAAATATATTTGATTTTCCAAATGATATTATCGACTTATTTTCATTTGTCAAATAGCTTAATCTAAACCAGACAATGAAATTTAATATGTTATAGAAATGTCTCACTGTAGTTGAGAGAAAAAATTACTGAAGACCCAAGTGTTTCTTAAAAACTTGGGGAAACTTCAATTTCCACGATTTTCACCGGTATTATATAACAGAGCTTCACAGTTACAATTTTTTTATTGCCAGATATGTTTGTACATTTGAATCATCATGGAGATGTTTTAAAAAACAGATTCTTAAATCAATAACAATTGAATATCGAAAAAGTACTCACATATTTTTTTTTATCAGGCCAGGAAGTATGTGTTTTTTCAAAAGTTCTTCAAGTAATTCTGATTATCAGTCAAGTCTTGGAAACATCAGATTACATGAATCAATCAAACTCTTATGTTACATGAACTATCATAACATACAGGATAATTTTAAGACCCTGTGTCAAGAAAGATCTCATAACATTTAAGACAAAAGGAGTGTCTACTTAGAAAATAATATTAATGATCATAAAACTTCTTGCCAAACGTTATCTAGAAAAGTAGCACCAGGGCCCAATGGAGGACATGTCCTATCCTTTAAAAAGATAAACAAGCAAAAAAATAAGTGGAGTTGGGGGGGCTACATTTTTATAAAATTGACAAATTTGGATAAATGTGAAATGGAAATATTCAAAATATTGATAATGTTTTCATTCATTAATTAGAGAAGGGCTGTTAATATAAGTAATGTTAAAAATTAATTCACTTTTGCTATATTCTTGAGTATTTCTGAGTCTGAATTAAAAAATAGTATTTACATTAATATTATTTGAAATACAGCTAGATGCAAAATATATATTAATCTAAGGCATGTTTATTATACTTCTACTATTTTTCTAGTTACTGAGTTAGTTACTATCAATACAATGTACAATATAAAAAATTCGAAAGGATCCCCTCATCCATTAAGCTAGACAAAAAAGGAAAAGGATTTTTGTTTGTTTTTGTTTTGATGTTGAGGAACTGACTTGCATAAGTACTTGCTTCATCCATTTAAGTCATTCTTAGATACTCCAGGGCAGGTTTCCTCAGAAACAGACTCAGAGACAGACAATAGCAGAAACTGTACTGAAGAGAACTTTCAGGAACATCACTATGATAAAATAAGGAAGTCAGTAATTTATCTTATTTTGGATTTTTTTCTCTAGACTAGATAATCTAAAATAAATAAATTCAGCCTGGAATAGGCTATAGGTAAGAGAGGCAATTCCATTTGGAGTGTGAAGGCCAGAGTCAATATTTTTCTGTTTTTTGATTTTTTTGTCAGACATATCATTATGTATTTTAATTTAGTTTTATTACGTTTAAAAACTGTCTCCTTTAAAAATACTGTTATGCAATTTTCTTTAAAAAATCAGACTAAAAATTAAATACATACACATATAAATGAATTAACAGCATGATTGTATAAACTCATGATATATTTTGTGTAAAAGAGACCTTTATATTATTTGAGATGTAAGGTAATTTACCAATTTACCTAATGGAAATATTTGATTGAAAAGCACATTAGAATATTTGTTTTTTTCCCCAAGAATATACATATTTGTGTATGAGAGATTTTATTAAAGACTATAAAAATTGAAATAAGAATTTTGTGTTTTGAAAATATTTTATATAAATAATAAATAATTGTTTTATAAAAATAAGAAAATTTTAAATATTCTGAGCAAAAGAGAATATTTTAGAAAGAACAAACATTATTATCTAAGATCCACAAACCTTCAGCCAAAACTAGTCATAAGTTTAGTGTAGCTATGCATTAGATATTGAGAAATCATAAAAATTTAATAATGAGAAATTTGTATTCACATTTCTCTGAGTTAATGATTCTCACTAACATATGCTATGATCAGGTAGTCTTAATTTGATATTTGCAATCATTGGCATTTAAATATTTTTGAACCTACTAAATACAGCCTACTCACAAGTTACGATAAAACTTCCTGCTTGGGTCAGAACTGAGGTTCCCTTCTGACTTCATGGTGTTAGGCAACACTGCCGCCTAGAGGTATTATGATTATTCCTAGTGGACAAGGTTTCTACTAGGAAAGGCTCAGAAAATAAATGTATTTACGCTTAAGCAATGTTAAGAACATGTTAAATGGATATGTAGCTACTTTATGTGACGTGTGAGATATCTAAGAACCCTATGAAAGAAGAAGTGGAAGTTTATTAACAATCGGAGTGCAAGCAAATACTGACAAGTACATGTTCTTAAGAAGTTCTGGTGAAAGTTGAACCAGGTTTGACTGTCAAAAGAAACAACGGCTTCTACATTGTGTGACTGACGTTGGGAATCGCCCTAATCGACTACTCCCTGATATGATTGTGCATTTTGTAAGGAAGGAGTCAGTTCTGTAAAAGAAAGAGCTTTCTTAGTATCAGAGTTTGCAACTTTTATGCTGCAACTTTACCTAAGGAGCAGTTTATCAGAATCTGGAAGGCAATTTATCACTAGATCAAAAGTGGAGAGTATCAGAGGTCAGTGGTAGAAAAAAGTTTGATTATCATTCAAGAGGAACACGAGGGTAAAATAGCAAAGATGAATAGTGGAGAAACTTCCACAATTGCAGGTGATGGATTTGTTTTCACTAGGACAATCCATGCCCAAAATATGTAAGAGAAATAATTTTTCATTAAGATTTACAGATGAATGGCAATTTTCCAAAAATGTTAACCTGGTTAGGGTAGTCTTGGAGAATATTCACTTTTTGACACCCAAAATAGAAAAAGTTCAAAATGCTGAAATTCAGCATAATACAAAATGTAATAGGAAATGTCTGTAGCTGATAGTCGATGGAGAAAAGGAAAGAGGTTACTTATTTTCTCAGAAGCATCACTGTGATTATTATTATTATAAAGTTCCCTAGAACCATACTGAGAAGTGGGAAATGTCCAAGGTCTTATTCATTATTTTAACATATACATCCTAAGTGTCTCCTACCTGTGAGGCTTCAAAAGGCAAGCAGACACATTATTTGCCCTATGTCACAGAGGAGATAGTAAATGAAACAATTAAATATTTTTAACTTGTCAAATATTGTTAGTGTTTGAAGTAAATGAACATGGTAATGTAATGTTTTGTTACCTCTGAGAAGTTATATTTAATTCTGAGACTTTAAGAATCTGAAGTCTAATGAGTGAATTAGGCAAAGGCAGACACTCAAACGATGGCCTAAGGATGGGAAGCAGATGAGAATTTGGTAAGAAGTGACAGAGGACCAGTGAGATTGGAATATAAGAGGGCGCTTTGGTTGACTTCGCTGAAGTTACAGTTCTAAACTCTCAGTTTTTTAAAACAATGAAAATTACTTGTAGGATTAAATATAGATTAAATGTAGAAACTAGGTCAATTGTATGTCTGATCCAAGATAGAGGCCTACTGTAGCCTATGCTATGATACCCATCTCTTCCCATTTTGGAACCCTCACTGAAGGTGTCGACACTAAGTGAGAGATGATGTTCTCCTGACCAAAGAAGAAAGAAAAGACTAACCTGAACCAGGTAATCCCATTTGAAAACCTATTTAAACTTCACTGGGATGCGGTGTACATCATATCTCTCCTTCCTCCAACTGAAGCTAACACACAAAACCAAGCTCAATATTGGGGTAGTGAAGTTATTTTTTTATAAAGAAAAAAGAGAACAATAAACTGAAATAATAATTCAATCTGTCACAGATGGAGAAGGTGATATGTTATTTGAAAAGGTAAGCAAATAATATTACTTAGAAAGTTTTGAAGCTATGGAAAGATTTTACACTTGAAAACCAAAGATGGGTATTAAAGAAAATGGCATAATATAATTTACATCACAAAATAGTAACCCAGATTAACATGTGAAGAATTTATTACAGTTAGGCAACCAGAAGAGCAGAGAAACTTGTTCGGTGACTGTGAAAGCACCCCCAAAACAAGGCAGCATAAACTAGGCTAGTGAAGCTTGAAAAAAATAGATGAATTTAAGATATACTTTTAAACTGGAATCCAAAATATTTCCTGAAATGTGCTTGATAGCATATTTCTTGAAGAAATATGTTAATTATATAGATTTCAGATCCACTTCTAGGGCTAAATCCTAGAAAAATCTAAGGAATTGAAGTCATCAAGACCTGTTAATCTGGGGTTCATGATGTCACTGAAAAGAGGATTTATTGAAACTCCTTATAATAAAACTTTAAACTCTTCTATTCTATTATCTCACCCCTGGCTGGATGCAGAGCTGCAGAAGATTAAGGGGAATTTAGTATGTAGAATTGCACTTACCTTTCCTATTTTCAGAGGTACATCTAACTCAAAGAGTTACCAGGTGCAGCTGAGGTTGAGAGTGAGACACATTAACGAAAACTTAGAGGAGTATGTGACAGTCAGGTTACTGAAGGCCAAAACCCCCAAATCCCTTCCAATATTTTATTCCTCAATCATTGTGGTCAACTTTATATACCCCAAGTATGAGATTGGAAAGATTCTTGCTTCAGAAATTTGCACTATACAAAGGAAGAAAGATTTCAAAAAGTACTGACAGTTGGGAATCAAAATATCGACAGTTGGCAGTCACTTTTCCCACAAAAATTGAAATGGCTGGATTTTTTTTCTCAATAACACTGGAGAAAGAAAGGTCCATCCGGTGAAACCATGGCTATACAAGTGCAGGAGGTTTGATTGCTTTGTTTAATAATTTGGAACAAATACTATTTAGTAGAAGAAGTACTAAACAGCCAAATAGACAAAGTAAACTGGTTGACTGACATTAGCAGTTTATGTCACTGGCCCCCCAAGTACTGGCACAATGAGCACATGAACAAAGTAGTCACGCTGAGAGAGATTGATTCTATATGTTGGCCCAACAACTTAGACTTACTGATGCAACTATGATTAATGCCAATTGTATAATCTGCTAGCAACAAAGAACAATGTTGTGCCTATAATTTGAATAGGTATCACAGGCTTGAAACCTCAATAGGCACTTGATGGCAGGTTAACTATGTTGGTCACCTTGCATTCTGAAAAAGTCAGAAATGTGTTCTCACAAAACTAGACACATATTATGAATATCAGTTTGCCTTATCTGCCCATAGAACTTCAGTTAATATCACCATGTTAAGGATTAGTCCTTGTTTATCCCATGGACATGGGGTGCCACATAATCAGATCAGTGGACCCACTATACAGTGGTAAGGTTTTAGGATGGCTCATGTCCCTGGGATTTACTGACAGTATCACATCCACACTACTCAGAAGCTTCTGGACTTCTGAGTGTTGGATTGCCTTATTGAAAGCACAGATAAGCTCCAACTCAGAGGCAATACTCAATTAGGATATACTGCCGTTGTCTATGCAGTATATTAAATGAAATGAAAATCCATGTATTAAATGAAAGATTGCTGCTGTGGTTTGAATGTTTGTATCTCCCCTAAATCCATTTGTTAAAATCTAACCCCAATGTGATTTCACTAAGATGTGGGCCTTTAGGAGGTAATTAGATCGTGTTGATGAAGCCCTATGAATGGAATTAGTGCTCTTATGAAAAAGACCAAAGGGAGCTAATTGGCTCATTCCACCATGTGAGGATGCAGCAAGAAAGTGTCCTCTATGATGGACAGATCCTCAGATGACACTCAATCTGCTGGGACCTTGATTGTGGACTTCCCAGCCTACAAAAGAGAAATCAATTTCCATTGTCTGTAAATCACTCAGTTCATGCTATGCTGCTATGGCAGCCCAAATGAGCTAGGACAATTACTATGTGATGCTGTGTCCCAAACAGGAAGAATATATAGTTCCATGAGCCAAGGGACAGAAGCAGGAATAGCCCCACTTACAACAATTTCCAATAAATGATTAATGGGCTTTTTGTTTTCTTTCTGCACAACTTTGGGATCTGCAGGGTATCAAATGAAAAACATCAAGAATCCCATTGATATATAAGCCACAGCTGACACCTAGGCACTTTGGGCTTTGTCTCTAGAGACATGAAGGAAAGAAGAGGTTCTAGTGCATTTCAAGAAGTAACTGGTCTTGATAATCAATGGAGAGCAAGGCTATTATTACATTTTGGAGATAGGGAGGAAAATATGTTCACATGTAATCTGCTGAAATTTATTATTGTACGTGCTTGATTGTGACTAAATGGACATGCACAGCAAACCCAACCTGAGAAGAGATTCCACAGGCTCAGGTCACTTTTGTATAAAAGTTTGGGTCATACCACCAGGTAAATCACCAAGATAACGAGAGGAAAGAGGATCTGGAATAGATAGTGGAGGGAGGAGATGGAGAATAGTCATTGTTCTTGAGATGACTACAGTGGCAGGAGCTTATTTTGTCCCCATTAGCTGCATACTTCCAAGTATTCCCTCAGGAAAAGAGCCCCAGGGAATCAGGGAGGAGCTGTACTCAAATGTATATGAAAAAGATCCATATGTCATAAGGAGTAAACAATAACAGAGAGCGTCTTCCAGAATCCCCTATAGGGATAACTTGCTTCCCATTTTAGAGATTGCATTCAGTAAGCAGTTTCCAGCTTGCAGATACTCAGGATCTGCCTCATGTGCAGAGAACCACCTTGCTGCACATCACAATTTCCCTGGCAACTTACACGTAGTAACTGAGTGAAAAGGGGGTAAACAGCCAAGCAATTCTGACATGAAACAGGATTACTGTAACAGATGATACTGACTCTAGAACTCCATACAAGAATGGCCTTGGCTAGACTGAGCATTCATCACAATTTAACCTCTTACAGTGGCCAATCATGTGCCCTCTTCCCCTTTACAAGTGTTGATCTCTAACAAATATTTTTCATTGCAAACTTTTTCTCAACATCTGTTTCCAGCAAATCCATGTGCAGTTTTTACTTTGCATTTCTGTGTATTTTAATTTCTGCCTAAGACTGACTCTTTTTTGAGTGTTTGAGGCAGTTTATGTTTCATGTATTAGAATCAATAAAAAAATTGCTTTTTCTGTCTTTTTAAATTTTATTCTAAATTGATGAATTCTAATTTTATATAAATGGGGCACAATCCAATGTTATGATTTATTAATACAATTTGAAATAATTAGAGCAAGATAATTTACATGTCAATTGCCTCAAACACTTATCATTTTTTTGTGGTGAGAACATTTGAAATTTACTTTATTAGTAACTTTGAAATGTACAACACACTATAAACCCATGTTACCAAAATGCTTGGAATAGTGGTAAATATTTAAATTTCGGCATGTAAAATAATGATTTTGGTTATGCTCCTGTCTGGTAATATACAACTCTAGTAATTTTGGTTGGAAAATGTAGATGAACGTAAATAATTAATAAAATGATCTGTAGAGCTGAATTTTTCACCTTATTCTTCCAAAATGACTTTATGTGAGTTAAGAATTTGCAATCTATTGGGTTAAAAATGAGACGTAGCAAGCTGCAGAGTAAGTTTTCTTGCAGAAGGAAAAACACCACCACTGACCCTATCACTCTAAATGGAGGGAAAAATCTGTTTCTGCTGATTCACCTGAGACAGATTATTGGAAGGGGTGCACAGTGGATGGAATAAACACACACACACACACACACACACACACACACACAGAGGAACACAGCATAAAAAATGAGAAGAATAAATATTCTCTCCTTTTTAAAATTTATTTATTTTTTCCATAAGTTATTGGGGTACAAGTGGTCTTCGGTTACATGAGTAAGATCTTTAGTGGTGATTTGTGAGATTTGGGTGCACCCATCACCTGATCAGTATATACTGCACCATATTTGTAGTCTTTTATCCCTCCTTCGCTCCCATTCTTCCCCCTCAAGTCCGCAGAGTCCATTGTATCATTCTTATGCCTTTGCGTCCTCATAGCTTATCTCCTGCATAATCAGTGAGAACATACGATGTTTGTTTTTCCATTCCTATATTCTCTCTCTTTTTTAATAGTCTTTCTCTTGTATATTTCCATTGCTTTTTGGAGAAAATTAATATTTCAAAAGCAGTGATTATGATATGGGCACACAGGAGAGACACTGACTAGACTACTTACTATCTTTAAGTACACCCTTTGTGCCAGTTGTACACGCATAAAAAAGGTTTTTATGGCTATCATGTGTTACAGCCAAGCCCAGGCCTTATGGCATAAAATGTGTTCTCTGCATATGAACATCAACAATCTTGACTACAACATGTGGCTGGAAAAATAAACTGGGATTCTGGGATCCTGACTTGCTAATTACATATCTATTTTATGTTTCATTCTGTCCTAAATTCTGTATGGGAATTTCATAATACATGAGGGGGTGCTTATTATGATAATATTCTTCCTTCTGTTTCTGACAAGACAGTAAATGCTGTATTGCAAAAGATATACTACTACACAAAACATTTTAAAACATCATAGTTTTTGCATTCTTTGTGAAAAAACAGAGAGATAGGGACTGAAAATCTTTGGCTATCAAATTGTGATGTCTAGGCCAATAAAACATATTTAATAATTTCAATTGGAAGAAAAATAAACACATATTTATATATCTTCTAGTAATTTAAGTTTCCCAAAACATATCCCACTAACTTCATAACTTTATGTTGTGATTCATTGTATTGTGTTCAAATATGAATATGTACTAATTACATATAGTACTAATATATTATAAAACATACATTTAACTTTTTTATTAAAAGAAGTAATTACTTTGATTCAATATCTTGATTTTAATAGTTTCTTAGAAGGTATTTAAATTATCATTTTTTAAGCTTTTTGGAATGAATTGAAAGTCAAAATTAAAATATGTCAGAAAGATTTGTATATTTAGATTTGTATGAACGTATATAACCAGTGACTTCTAAAATTTACATGTTTATTTCTTTAAAAACCTAATAGGAATTCATTGAACAGAAGGAAAACCAATTATACAGATTTCAGATTTTTATAACTAGTGGATATCTTCCAATATGCAGCCTTTTATAGACACTGCCTCAAGGTTTAAAGATAATGAAGTGGCATTTAGACAATTCATCATTTAACCACCATTTAACCACCACAGTCAATTTCTTATTTCAAAGTAGTAAGGATGGGAATAAATATTAATATGTATCATTTATGAACATATATGTATTTGATTTCCTTTTGCAAGTCAAATTCTGTCTGTAGGCTTTCATTTATTTTCATTAAAATAAATAAAATTATTTTAAGTTAGAGTAGATAGAGCAATGAATAATACTCATTAAACATTTATCATGAGGAGAAAAGGTAAGTTCAACCAAATTATTGAAAGCTACTGACAAAGTAGCTTGTTTCATTAGTTTCCATAATGAATCTGTCCTACTTAAAATACTTTTATATAAAGTCATTGAATTACTCATTATAAAGTTAATCTTCCAAAGACTTGGTCAGTACAACATATAATCTGTGCTTTGAATCTATGGAAAAGTTTATATTCAAGTACCAATATTGCAAGAATTTAAACAATACAAATATAAATACCCTGTATACATAATTCTCCCTCTTCACACTTTCTCCCTCCTGTCCCAAGAATAACCACCATTTTGACTTGCAATCTGTCATTCTCAAACATGTCTTTTCACAGTTAAAACATATTTCTGTTTAAAATATATATAACATTTTATGTATCATACTGCATTACTAGATCTGTCTCAATTAATGTAAGATTTAGAATAGACCAATCATAGTAATGTCTGTGAAAAAAAATGGAACCTTTGATGAATTTGTATACTGAAAGCATCTAGCAGATATTAAGTGATTAGTAAATATTTTTTAAAGAAAATAATGATGCTACTCACACATAAATACCCAAGAAAGATAATTTGAAAAGAAAAAAATCCACACAAATAAAGATACAATTAAGTAACAAAATAGTTTACAAAATATTTTAAAACATCACTACCTGACGAGAAAATAATGAAAGAAAATAATAATTTTCAGCAGTACAAAACATCAAATATCGAAAAATAAATTATATAAGAACGTGCAGTAATTATAGTAAATGAAGCAAAATTTCAAATATCCTTGAAATGGTAGCACACACAAATTATAGGACAAACAATTTCAAGATCAGGAAAACTCAAAATCATAAAGATGTCAAAGATCTTAAGTCCAACTATAAATTTAATATAACTGTGGTCAATATATTGACATTAATATTCCCAAGAAATAGAAAATATGAAGCTAAAATTTTTGTGTTTAGTTAAATAAATATGTATATCCAGGGAAATTCTAATTGAGAAATAACACAAGAAAAAACATGCTATCCAGATATTGAATTGGATGACAAAACATCAATAATTAAACCATGTCACTATGGCCCATAAAGACACTCTTAGTAACAAAACACGTGTAATGCCCAGAATAAAACCAAAGGCATGGATGAATATAGAATATAAAATTGGTGATGTTACAAATCAGTAGAATCAAGTAACAACAAATTATTTATAGACAACTTAGCAGACATCTGAAAGTAAGTCAAGATCAAAGAGTGAGTGCCTCATACTTTACAGGGGGATTAATTCTAAATATATCAAACAATAAACCATACAAAAGGAATGAAAGATGTGAGCATTTTAATTACATATTCTAAGTTGTAGTATTTTTTAATCATTACAGAATGCTTGGTTTCAAAGAAAATTGCACTGAATGGAATTAAACAGGGAAAGATGTATTCAAGACTATTCCAATATGAGTCAAAATATTGCAATGAGGGAGTGAGAGTGGACTTAATTCTGCCAAAGCAAAAGGCAAAAGAGGAAGGTGTTTTTTTTGTTGTTTTTTTTGTTTTGTTTTGTTTTTGAGACGGAGTTTTGCTCTTGTTGCCCAGGCTGGAGTGCAATGGCACGATCTCGGCTCACTGCAACCTCCACCCCCGGGTTCAAGTGATTCTCCTGCCTCAGCCTCCTGAGTAGCTGGGATTACAGGCACCTGCCACCACACCTAGCTAATTTTTTGTATTTTTAGTAGAGATGGGGTTTCACCATGTTGGCCAGGCTGGTCTTGAACTCCAGACCTCAGGTGATCCACCCACCTCGGCCTCCCCAAGTTCTGGGATTACAGGCATGAGCTACCAAGTGGGACCAGAGGAAAAGTTTAAAGCACTGCTGTGAGCTAGGGGTGGCTCAACCCTAGAGGATGTTAGGCCAATGTGACAGGCCATGTGTTTGCTAATGGTGCTTAATGAGATTAATCTCATCCCTGTGAGACTGAAAGATAGGGCACTTTTTTTTAATTCTATTTTTATTTTTAATTATTATGGGTACATAATAATTGTATATATTTATAAGGTAAATGTAACTTCGGATATAGTCATACAATGTGAAATCATCAAATTAGGGGAATTGGTGTATCCACATGCAGCATTTATCATTTCTTTGTGTTGGGAACATTACAATTCCAATCTTTTTGTCATTTTAAAATATACAATAAAATATTTTAAGTATAGTCATACTGTGCCACCAAATACCAGATCTTATTCACTCTATCAACTGTATTTTTGTACCCTTTAACCATCCCCACTTTGTCTCCCCCTTTCTGTTATCCTTCCCAGCCTTTGCTAACCACCATTCTCCTCACTATGTTTATGTATTCTTTCTTTTCTTTCTTTCTTTCTTTCTTTCTTTCTTTCTTCTCTTTCTTTTTTTCTTTCTCTTTCTTTCTTTTTCTTTCTTTCCTCCTTTCCTTGTTTCTTTCTTTCTCTTTCTCTTTTCTTCCTTCCTTCCTTCCTCTTTTTCTTTCTTTCTTTTTTCTTCTTTCTCTTTCTTTCTTTCCTTCTTTCTTTCTTTACTTTCTTTCTTTCTCTCTCTCTCTTTCTTTCTTTCTTTCTTTCTTTCTTTCCTCCTTCCTTCCTTTCTTTCCTTCCTCCTTCCCTCCCTCCCTTCCTTCCTTCCTTCTTTCTTTCTTTTTTTTTTGGAGAAGATGGGGTAAGGAGCGATGTCACTCTGTCACCCAATCTGGAGTGCCGTGGTGTGATCATGGCTCACTGCACCCTTAACCTCCCAGATTCAATACTCCTACCGCTTCGCCTCCCCAGTAGCTGCGATTACAGGCACATGCCATTATGCCTGGATAATTTATTTTTGTTTCTTGTAGAGACAGGGTCTCCCTGTGTTGTCTAGGCTGGCCTCAAATTCCTGGACTCAAGTGATCCTCCCTCCTCAGCCACCCAAATCGCTGGGATCACAGGCACTGATCCCAGCCCATGGGTTCACTTAAAAAAAAATTTAGCTCCCACATATGAGTGAGAATATGTGAAATTTGTCCTTCTGTGGCATTTCACTTAACATAATATCCTTCAGTTCTATCTATGTTGTTGTGAATGACAGGATTTAACCCCAGCCCATGGGTTCATTAAAAAAAAAAAAATAGCTCCCACATATCAGTGAGAATATGTGAAATTTGTCCTTCTGTGGCTAGCTTATTTCACTTAACATAATATCCTTCAGTTCTATCTATGTTGTTGTGAATGACAGGATTTATTTTTATGGATGAATCATGTTTCATCGTGTATATGTACCACATTTTCTTTATCCATTTATCCACTGATGGGTACTCAGGTTGATTCCATATCTCGGCTATTGTGAATAGTGCTGCAATAAACATGAGAATGCAGACAGCAGTTCATCCTACTAATTACCATTATTTTGTGTATATACCTAGCAGTAAGGCTGCTGTATCATACGGTAGGTCTATTTATAGTTTTTTGAGGACACCCCCAGACTGTTCTCCTTAGTGGTGGTACTAATTTACATTCTTATAAACAGCGTAGGGGCTTCCCGTTTTTCCACATCTGCACCAGCATTTGTTATTGTCTGCCTTTGGATAAAAGCCATTATAACTGCAGTGAAATTATATCTCATTGTAATTTTGATTGGCATTTCTCTGATTATTAGTGATATTCAACTTTTTTATATACCTGTTGGACATTTGTATGTCTTCTTTTGAGGCACTTCCTTTCTGATGTATATATTTCAAAGTGATGGCTCTCAGGTTCTAAAGAGAGAGGCTTGGAGATAATTTACATTTCAAAGGAGCAGAAATGAAAAGTACAATTACAAGTTTTCTAAAGCAAATGTTCTAAGAAAAGAGGGATCTAGAGACTAGAGTTAGGAAGAAATATGACTAAAGTTTAGTCAATCTGAGGGGACCATTAAAGACACGTAAGTCACTCTGATCACTCACTTGACCTCTGGGAACACATGGACTTATCTGTTTTTCCATTTCCATTTCACTTCTGTGGAATGTTGCAAAAGAAAACAAATTAAGTCTTCTTAATAAGGTAAATTTGTGAATTCCAGCTTCTTCTAGAGTGATGTTGTCAGGACTTCTTCTATCATACCTACAATTTCTCATTCATGGTGTTTACGATTATAATCTTCTATCACTCTTGTTAGCCTCCATGTAAATGTCTACTGCCACATTGAGAAAAGCAAGTGTGTCCTGCTGGAAATTTTGGAACTTGATTATTCTTTCCACTTTTTTCTCTTAACACACTCTTATGCAGTTGGGTCTGCACATATCATTCAATCTTTTAAAATTTTAGGACTCTTTTCCAAGTTAAAAAATACAAATCTACTATTATTTTCATCTGCTAGAATGGCATTAGATTTTGTAGATTTAATTAAAATATATTTAACAAAATATCTTTTTTTGGACTTGTTTCAAACACTGCACAATGTAAATGTTTTTGTACCTTACTTCTCATAGTTAGCATAATCTTATATATATTTCCTGCCTTTGAAATTCCACCATGATTCACAATAACATTTTGTCTATTCCTCTTTCATCATTCTGATTATACTATATTATATTGTATGTATTGATATTTTATCTCTTTATAAAATTATATATATTAGTATCACTACTATAAATATATGTACATATATATAAAACATCCTTATTTTTAAATATGGTGACGTATAAAATAATCAGGCTACACGTATTTAATGAATATGTGAGTGGGTTACGCAAAAACATTCTAATAATAGTTTTCATTATTTTTAATCTTGCATAAAGTTTAAAGTCTATGCTAATTAAGTGACCCCAAATTATTTAACTGTTTGTTTCTCAATGCTTGAATAGATTTGAATCTGTAGTGGGAGGGGAAGAAAGCGGTACAGAAAGACAAATATCATATGTACTCATTCATGTTGGGAAACTAAACAAAAGTTGGTTTCATGGAGGTGGAAAGTAGAATGATAGCTACCAGAGGCTGGGAAGAATGTGAGTGTGTGTGTGAGGGAGGTGGGTAAAGAAAGGTTGGTTAATGTGTACAAACATATAGTTAGAAGCAGTTAAGTTCTCATGTTCAGTAGCAGAGTAGAGTGGCTATAGTTAACAACTATGTATTCTATATTATAAAATAGTTAAAGTAACTACTTGAAATGTCCTCAACACATAGAAATGATAACTGATCAAGGTGATGGGTCATCTAAATACCCTGACATGATCATTACACATTATTCATATACAACAAAATATCACACATACCCAATAAATATGTACAAACATTATGTGTCAATAAAAAAAGGAAAAGTTAAAAGTTAAGTTCATGAGAAATAATTTTTAATTAATAATTTATTTTTATAATTGTTTTACTTTTGGTGAAATAATAGCTTTTGAATAACATTTTTCAAATGTGATATACTGTTATTATGTATATGAATTATTAATTTGCATATGTAATTGATAAAATTTGATAGTAAATAAATTACTTAAAAGTTTCTCAGTAAATAAAGCTATGAAGTTAAATGTTAACAACTTAATTTTTAATGTAAATTTTAATTTAAATTTTAGTCATTCTTAATCCTGCACTGACTAATAATAGTAAACTGTAAAAATAAATAAAATAAAATAAATAGCAAAGAAAACACTAAACATGTACAAAATTTTGGATTGGATTAAACAGTGTCAATATAAATGGATCATAAGTGGAGAGATCGTGATGTGTTGGATTTTTGGAAATCAGGAGTACCAGGCATGTTTGTTTTCATAACAGCTAAATTTTGATGTCACATATAAAAAACATTCTCTGATTTAAATTGACAGGATGTTATTTTTGTAGCACTCTGGGCCATTTTAATACCTCTTTTCTGTGAGCCCACAGAAAAGAAGCTAATGTTTATGTGATAAAATAAACCATATGTAAAATATTGTATCAAGGATCTTTTCAACCATATTTAAGTGTCTATCCTTTAACATGCTTCCATTTCTAGGTGAACTGATGCCTTGGGAAAATTATTTTGAATTTTAAAAAAATGGAAAAAAAAATTAAGTAATGCTGAATATAGTTGAATCTCAACAGAAAAGTTGATTGGCATTGGAGGAAAAGCAGATATCAAGTTCACTCACACAAGCATTATTTTATAAAGATACACTGCACTTATTTTTTCACTAATGCATATTTGTATGGTTTATTGAATGGTGGAAATTAACTTATTACTTTTTATAAAACTACCTGTTGCTATATTACTAATTTTATTTTATTGTTAATAAGTTTCTATTGATGCATTGAAACTATTATGTATATAAATATAGTAATTTTCACATTACATTAGTAATGCCATTATCTTATGGTGTCTATACTTTTGGACTTGTACCCCAACAGCCTTTGGAATATGAAAAGATTAAAATAAAAATAAAAATATTTATTAAGTTAAATAAAAATAAAATTAATCTTTGTATTACATAGTTTTCTCCTTCAGATATACATTTTATACAAATATTTTCTTTCTATAATGATTATAGATTTTCCAAATGTACCTGTCACTGTGTATATACTCTCTCTCTCTGTGTGTGTGTGCATGTGTGTGCGTGTGTGTGTGTAGTGAATTTGGGATTCGTTATATCTAAAATATTTCTAAATTTATTTAAATTTAATATATTTAAAATTTTCCATTTAAATTTATAAATTTTAAGAAAATTTTATATTTTACATATTTTTAAACAAGCTTCAATCTTTACCTATTTTGTTAGTTAAAGTTTTAGCTTTTTCACTGCTATGTTTAGAAAGTTAGCTTTATAGTCTGAATAGTGCTCTCTTTACCCATTCTCCATTTCGACTTTTTAAACTAATGCAAATTGATATTTTTTTTTTCCCGTCAGTTTTTAGAAAAAGTGAAATAAGAAATTAACAATTACTTTCAAAATGCTCCTTTTAGTTAGATTTTTATTTTTGGAAGAACTGTGATGCCATCTTTTGAATATGTACATTTGTCTGAGAATTGTTTTCACATCCTTGGATAATTATATAATAATCTCATAATAATAATTATATAATAACATGTATATATACTATCTACGTGTTACATGACATGTTAATAGTTTCACATTCATGTTTCACATCTTCTGAATCATATGAGAAAAGAGTTGCGTGTTTAGACCTCCATATTACAGATGTGGTGTATTAGTCCATTTTCATGCTCCTCATAAAGACACACCTGAGACTGGCAAGAAAAAGGTTTAATTGGACTTAAAGAGTTCCACATGGCTGGGGAGGCCTCAGAATCATGGCGGGAGGCAAAAGGCACTTCTTACATGGTGTCAGGAAGAGAAAACAAGGAAGAAGCAGAAACTCCTGATAAGCCCATCAGATCTCCTGAGCTTTATTCACTATCAGGAGAATAGCATTGGAAAGACGGGCCCCCATGATTCAATTACCTCCCCATGGGTCCCTCACACAACAGATGGCAATTCTGGGAGATACAATTCAAGTTGAGATTTGGGTCGGGACAAAGTCAAACTATGTCATATGGTCACTGACTTTTCATGAAGTTAGGCAATATGCCTAAGGTCATACATATTAATATAAGTGAACAAATACTTGAAATCAGATTTCCCTGCTCCAATTTCCAAGCTAGTGTATGCTTTATTCTGCTTCTTTCATGTGTTACTTACTACTTTCTTTAATATCTTCTTAACCGACCATGTTTTAAGCCAAATAAAACTGAAAGCTTAACAATAAATATAATATCGTTGTTTGAAGATGTTCTCCTCTATTCTCCATAAATGTTTTTTATTAAATGAAACTTAACGGCATATCATTCAGAAATGTTTTCAAGTTTCTAAATGCACTAAGCTTTAAATAGTTAATATGATATTTTATATTACCTTAGTGTCCTGTTAATCTGTAATTAAATACATTACTTTTTCAATTCTCAAAAGTCAGCACAGTTCAAAAATAAAATGTGTAAACATTATTTTATTTATCCGATTGTTAACTTTACCTCGTGATTACCCTATCTTGGACATTATGATAGGTTCTTAATTGCAAACAAAAAATAGATTGTCTTGTAGCATCCCATGACCTTCTATAAATTCTTATATTAACTATAATTACTACAATGTTAAGCACCTACTTACTAAGATTATTGATCCAGAAAAAGAATGCCATAATCCAATATGCCCATGAGAGAAATATGAGCTAGTCATACAATATGAGTAAGTGCTATGACCTAGATTATAAGCCATCTGCCTGGCATTAAATCATGTATCCTGTAAAAGTAAGAATATATAAGCATATTTCAATGTTTATGTGCATTTATACATGTAATCTAGTTAAGTGTTGAAGAATTCATGTCACCACAACTAAAGAAATCACTAACACCTTATTTTTTGTTATGGCTGCTGATATTCCAGTATTCAGTGGGCTAACCAGAAGAAAGGTTAATAAAATGGAAAGAAAACTAGGTATTGGGGAAGAAACTAAAAAATAATGATTTTATTTGCAAAGAACTGAGAAATTCTTTGCCGCATTGCGAAATAGGCCATGGACTCACATGACTAGCACCACATAATGTTGATGCTGGGGAAATAATTACAAGCAGCAGAGTAAAAGAGACCATTGGGACACACAAGCCCTCATTATTTCACAGGAGAGGGTGACCTAGACAATTTAACTGCACTATGTTCAAGATTCCAAAAGAGGGTACCTACTTCAGCTATCAGGCTGGACTTGCTACGAAGAACATTCCAAGGAAGATAGTGAACCTCATTCCCTTACCACATTCCATATTTATGGGTCAGCCTGAAAGGGGATAGGGCACATAATTTCTCCAAGTAATGAGGTCTGCACAGTGAGGGTCCTGGAAACAGCTGTGCCTGACATCAGCTAAATGTCTCTGTATCCTGGCTTAGTCTCATTTAAGTCAACAAAAGGGAGAAAGGGAATGAGCTTCCAAGGCATTCATATTTGATGCTCACCAAATTGATTGTCTTCTATGGAAAATGTGTGTTCTATCTTCATGTCTTTCTATGGGAATTTAAAAGGAAACATCCTAACATAATCTTCTTTTTTGACACAATGTCTAGTTTTAAGGGATTTTTGCCAGAGTTTGATTTGGTTTATATTTCAGTCTTTGGTTTATATTTCAGTTGTACTAGTTCTAGTACGATATGAGCTAGAAGAGTTAGTTTTCCAGACCAAAAGTCTTTTGATATTTGACTTATCACTTTTTTTCTAACTTCTGACTGAAGTCAACTAATGCTTGCTGCTTCCTCTTAATATTACAAAATGAGCAGCCATCATCTGGCAAAACATACTTATTTTGCTAACCTTGGAGCCTTAGACTCAGTAGGCCTTTGGGTTGTATTCAACCTGATGACTGGCATAACACAACCTAACATGACCTCAAACCTTTTATTTCATGCTGTGTTTTATACCAGACAGAAAACTAAGGCAGAGACAAGTATTTTGAGTGTTTTGTTTGTTTGCTTGTGTATTTTTTATTTTCGTTTTTGTTTTAGTGGCAGCACACAGCAGAGTTTCACTCTAGATCATTGCAAAATGGGTCCATTAAAAGTAAGATCATGGTATCTGGGATGGGAGTTATGCATGGGTTCAACAACCTTTCACACATAGCTTCAACAAACTTTCATAAACAGATCTAGTTTTTACAATTACTGAGTGCAACCTCTGCCAACAATTTTAAAAAATGCTAGAAACATGCCAGTTACCTGGAAGTGGGGAGATTACATTGGATTCCTAATGTCATGAAAAAGGCAGTATTTTCTCTGCCATAGAAGAAGTACTTATGTTGGAAATGAATTCCCACCATTGCCCACAGTATTTCAGCCATCATAATTATTCATGAAAGAACTAGTATCACATCTTTGGGATTCGTAGTCTTAATTATATGCCAAACCCAACTGTACACATAGAACTGTGAAATGACCTATGAATGACATAATGATACCACTGGCTTGGAGAATATATCCTCTAAGGCTGGTATGTTTTATTATAACATGCAGTATGTCCTTTGAACAAGGGACCAATATAGTTAGTATGTCTTAGACTATGAAGCAAAGAATAGAATTGGGATGAAAGGGTTGGGGAATTTTTCTTAGTAAACTTAATAAAATATTACTTAATTTATTTGTTTTCCTTCCTCGAATTCTTAGACTCAACTGAATTAGAGAGATTAGTGCTTAAGAAAGAGTAACCTTGGTAGAATATAACGTTGGTCCCATTGAACTGGATGTTAAAGGATGACATATGGACAATTTCAGCTTCTCATGTCACTTGTTTGACACACAATGAAGAATTTTTTCTAAAGTAGAGTGACTGGTTCTGCTTATACAAGGCAAATAGATTCTTTATATTATGACATTGCTGCTGCATAATGAGGTAAGAGCAATACCATTGAATATCTAAGTGATTCCATGTAATATCTTTCAGTATTTCCACGTATAATTTCAACAGTTAACTAGTACCACAAATACTAATAGGAGTATTAATGGTTCTGACTTTACAAGAATGAGGGTTTACCTTTCATCACGAGGTAAGATACCATATAAATAAATGGTGTTGACTGATGGCAAGGAACACATCCTGTTGGGGAGAGAATAAAGAGAGAGGGGGAAGAAGACAAACAAGAAGAAGAAAAAGAAGAGAAAGAAGATGAAGAAAAAGGAGAAGGAGAAAATGAAAAGGAGGAGAAGGAAGAAGGAGGGAGAGAGGAGAGAAAAAAATGATAAGAATGCCCATATGAATTGTTGCAATTTGTATTTATATATATGAGCTGACATGTTTTCCACTGCTACTTTTTTATTCTTTTATATAAGGTACATTGCATTAGGTTAGTTATAAAATATCAAGTTACAAGATAAAGTCCTAATCATTACGGTTAAAATCTTAAATAGGGATTCTATATATACTTGAAAAGAAATAAAAATCATAAGGTAGATAAAGAGATTAATGGGAACTGGATCTTTGTTGTGGGAAAAGGGAGAATGTATCTTTTTGTTCAATGGATTGGTGGATTATTTGAGTCAGAATGGCTGCTGTTGCAACTAGCATTAGTAGAAGTTTCATATGAAGAGTTACTGAGTACTCAAAGGGTTGACTGTATCTGAATGTCTTTGGTAGGTAGCAGGGATTCTTTCTGTCTACACTGTTCCCTTTCTAGAAAGTACTGAAAACACGGACTGATATTATGAGAATCACTGCTATCGGCTTTCTGAGTTACATTCACCAATGAGCAGTACTCACAGGATGACAGCAATACCACAGGATGTTTGGAAGGTGAAAATAAAGCTCTATAATTCAGGAGAACAATGACAAATAGGCATGTGGGAATTGGCAAGTGAATGAAGTGGTTTTTCCAGCAATTTCTGAGATTTTCCACTGCAGATGATATTCTGTCATACTAGAGAGTGCTGGATTCTGCTCCAGACAAATGTTAATTCGTCCTTTGCTCATCTTGCCCTTTCAATGAGCTAGTAAGCCTCTTAGCCTCAATATTAAATCCCGTTAATCCATAATACTTAGAGAGTTATTTCTGTTTTATTAAACAAAAGTAACACCCATCCCTACTCTCTGACTATTCAAGCAAGATATAAATCTGCATGTATTTGATCTGCTCAGACACACATGATTAAATATAATCACAAACACACAATTAAATATGCTCATGTATAACCTTAAAAAAGAGAGGAACTTTCGAAATACCTTATGATCAATTTATTACATTCTCTCGGGTTAACTTGTGAAATACACTAGAGAATAGAGCAATATCCCTAAAATTATAAATTTGGTACTTTTATTTAAAATATAGTTTTCCTAAAATAAAACTTGCCCATAATACACATGGTAAAATAATTAACATATATTGCTATGCTTTGTCTTTTTTGATTATATATTGTAAAACAAAATACTGGTTTAGTATCTTCCTTCATTATCTTTTGATTTACATATATATGTATGTGTATTTATATGTAATTTGACTATATATTTTTAAATGTTGTGTCCTTTGTGGTTAACTAGTGTGTATGCACAACTCAATGCAATGGATAGGATTTACACCATTCATCATGCAAGAATATGTGGGGCATTCATTATGTGCCAAACAAACATCTAGGCTCCAGGAATAAAAAGATAAATGGGACAGGGTGTCTAGTTTTAAATGAAAGATTTCTACTAGGATAAGAAAGCAACCATATTGAATATGAAGTCTAGTAAGAGTATGTGTGATGTGAAACAAATCTGGTCTTTCTCAGTACAAATAAAAAAATTATTCCCAATAAATATTAATTAAATTGGGATCAAGAGGATAAATCTGTTTATTTAAGAGAATAGGAGTACTAGAAAAAACAGATACACCATCTTCATAACTAGGTCAATATGGAAAATAACTTACAGGATTAAAGTTACTTTTCGTATTCGAGTAAGCAAGGAAATGCTAAAATATTTTAATCAAGGATGGGATTTGATCAGATATTTGCTTCAGAAATATTCATCAGGAAGACAGAAAAATTTGCTTAGAACCCTTTAATAATGGAGATCAGTTACTACTGTAATGTAATAAAGATATTTTAATAACCTACTCAGATGGTGAAGCTGTCCTAGATTAAATCATAGGCCCCTGGGATGAAAAAGAACCAACTTAATGTAAAAGTCTTAAATAGGAAGATTTTGGCTGGGCGTGGTGGCTCAAGCCAAACAGCATTTTGGGAGGCCAAGGCGGGCAGATCACCCGAGGTCAGGAGTTCAAGACCAGCCTGACCAACGTGGCAAAACCCTGTCTCTACTAAAAACACACAAAAAATTTGCCGGGCGTGGTGACAGGCGTGTAATCCCAGCTACTCAGGAGGCTGAGGGAAGAGAATTGCTTGAACCCGGTAGTCAGAAGTTGCAGTAAGCTGAGATTGCACCATTGCACTCCAGCCTGGGTGACAGAGCAGGACTCCATCTCAAAGAAAAAAAAGAAAAGAAAAAGAAAAAGAAAAGAAAAGAAAAAGTCTTAAATAAGAAGATTTTGCAGTCAAATGGAATGAGTATGAATGATAAATAAAACCTAATATCTTTTTTTCTTCTTTGGTTAGCCAGAATGATGGTGGTGACTTGTACAAAGAAATGTTAGAGAAAGAGCCACTGTAAAGACAACATTGGTAAGTCCACTTTATAACTTTATACATGCTGAGATTTGGTGCCATTGAGACTTCCATGAATATGTATTGCACAGGATGTGAAATATATGGTTTTAGATTTTGAAAGAGATTTGAAAGCAAATATATGTATGAAAAGCTCACTATAAAAAAGTTATTAAAGACATCAAAGATGATGTAAGCTCCTCCAACTTTTTTTTGAAAAGAAGAAGCATAAAACAAAATTCTCAGACACTAGTCTATTAAGGAAATCAATAGAAAACAAGACACACAAAAAAAGAAAGGACAATTAGGGTGGGTAAGAAGAGAATATAACGATAAAAAAAAACAGAAAAAAATGGCATTAAAAAACACAATGGAATAAACATTTCAAGAAGGAGAAATGGGTCAAGTATGTTAAATGCTCCAGATATATCAAGCCAAATGAGAAATTAGAGATAGTCATTTGAGGGAGGAGCCAAGATGGCCGAATAGGAACAGCTCCGGTCTACAGCTCCCAGCGTGAGCGACGCAGAAGACGGGTGATTTCTGCATTTCCATCTGAGGTACCGGTTTCATCTCACTAGGGAGTGCCAGACAGTGGGCGCAGGTCAGTGGGTGCGTGCACCGTGCGCGAAGCAGGGCGAGGCACTGCCTCACTTGGGAAGCGCAAGGGGTCAGGGAGTTCCCTTTCCGAGTCAAAGAAAGGGGTGACGGACGCACCTGGAAAATCGGGTCACTCCCACCCAAATATTGAGCTTTACGGACCGGCTTAAAAAACGGCGCACCACGAGATTATATCCCACACCTGGCTCGGAGGGTCCTACGCCCACGGACTCTCGCTGATTGCTAGCACAGCAGTCTGAGATCAAACTGCAAGGCGGCAGCCAGACTGGGGGAGGGGCGCCTGCCCTGCCCAGGCTTGCTTAGGTAAACAAAGCAGCAGGGAAGCTCGAACTGGGTGGAGCCCACCACAGCTCAAGGAGGCCTGCCTGCCTCTGTAGGCTCCACCTCTGGGGGCAGGGCACAGACAAACAAAAAGACAGCAGTAACCTCTGCAGACTTAAATGTCCCTGTCTGACAGCTTTGAAGAGAGCAGTGGTTCTCCCAGCACAAAGCTGGAGATCTGAGAATGGGCAGACTGCCTCCTCAAGTGGGTCCCTGACCCCTGACCCCCGAGCAGCCTAACTGGGAGGCACCCCCCAGCAAGGGCACACTGACACCTCACACGGCAGGGTATTCCAACAGACCTGCAGCTGAGGGTCCTGTCTGTTAGAAGGAAAACTAACAAACAGAAAGGACATCCACACCAAAAACCCATCTGTACATCACCATCATCAAAGACCAAAAGTAGATAAAACCACAAAGATGGGGAAAAAACAGAACAGAAAAACTGGAAACTCTAAAAAGCAGAGGGCCTCTCCTCCTCCAAAGGAATGCAGTTCCTCACCAGCAACGGAACAAAGCTGGATGGAGAATGAATGACTTTGACGAGCTGAGAGAAGAAGGCTTCAGATGATCAAATTACTCTGAGCTACGGGAGGACATTCAAACCAAAGGCAAAGAAGTTGAAAACTTTGAAAAAAATTTAGAAGAATATATAACTAGAATAACCAATACAGAGAAGTGCTTAAAGGAGCTGATGGAGCTGAAAACCAAGGCTCGAGAACTACATGAAGAATGCAGAAGCCTCAGGAGCGGATGCGATCAACTGGAAGAAAGGGTATCAGCAATGGAAGATGAAATGAATGAAATGAAGCGAGAAGGGAAGTTTAGAGAAAAAAGAATAAAAAGAAATAAGCAAAGCCTCCAAGAAATATGGGACTATGTGAAAAGACCAAATCTACGTCTGATTGGTGTACCTGAAAGTGATGGAGAGAATGGAACCAAGTTGGAAAACACTCTGAAGGATATTATCCAGGAGAACTTCCCCAATCTAGCAAGGCAGGCCAACGTTCAGATTCAGGAAATACAGAGAACGCCACAAAGATACTCCTCGAGAAGAGCAACTCCAAGACACATAATTGTCAGATTCACCAAAGTTGAAATGAAGGAAAAAATGTTAAGGACAGCCAGAGAGAAAGGTCGGGTTACCCTCAAAGGGAAGCCCATCAGACTAACAGCGGATCTCTCAGCAGAAACCCTACAAGCAAGAAGAGAGTGGGGGCCAATATTCAACATTCTTAAAGAAAAGAATTTTCAACCCAGAATTTCATATCCAGCCAAACTAAGCTTCATAAGCGAAGGAGAAATAAAATACTTTACAGACAAGCAAATGCTGAGAGATTTTGTCACCACCAGGCCTGCCCTAAAAGAGCTCCTGAAGGAAGTGCTAAACATGGAAAGGAACAACTGGTACCAGCCGCTGCAAAATCATGCCAAAATGTAAAGACCATCGAGACTAGGAAGAAACTGCATCAACTAACGAGCAAAATCACCAGCTAACATCATAATGACAGGATCAGATTCACACATAACAATATTAACTTTAAATGTAAATGGACTAAATGCTCCAATTAAAAGATACAGACTGGCAAATTGGATAAAGAGTCAAGACCCATCAGTGTGCTGTATTCAGGAAACCCATCACACGTGCAGAGACACACATAGGCTAAAAATAAAAGGATGGAAGAAGATCTACCAAGCAAATGGAAAACAAAAAAAGGCAGGGGTTGCAATCCTAGTCTCTGATAAAACAGACTTTAAACCAACAAAGATCAAAAGAGACAAAGAAGGCCATTACATAATGGTAAAGGGATCAATTCAACAAGAAGAGCTAACTATCCTAAATATGTATGCACCCAATACAGTAGCACCCTGATTCATAAAACAAGTCCTGAGTGACCTACAAAGAGACTTAGACTCCCACACATTAATAATGGGAGACTTTAACACCCCACTGTCAACATTAGACAGATCAACGAGACAGAAAGTCAATAAGGATACCCAGGAATTGAACTCAGCTCTGCACCAAGCGGACCTAATAGACATCTACAGAACTCTCCACCCCAAATCAACAGAATATACATTTTTTTCAGCACCACACCATACCTATTCCAAAATTGACCACATACTTGGAAGTAAAGCTCTCCTCAGCAAATGTAAAAGAACAGAGATTATAACAAACTATCTCTCAGACCACAGTGCAATCAAACTAGAACTCAGGATTAAGAATCTCACTCAAAACCGCTCAACTACATGGAAACTGAACAACCTGCTCCTGAATAACTACTGGATACATAACGAAATGAAGGCAGAAATAAAGATGTTCTTTGAAACCAACGAGAACAAAGACACAACATACCAGAATCTCTGGGATGCATTCAAAGCAGTGTGTAGAGGGAAATTTATAGCACTAAATGCCCACAAGAGAAAGCAGGAAAGATCCAAAATTGACACCCTAACATCACAATTAAAAGAACTAGAAAAGTAAGAGCAAACACATTCAAAAGCTAGCAGAAGGCAAGAAATAACTAAAATCAGAGCAGAACTGAAGGAAATAGAGACACAAAAAACCCTTCAAAAAATTAATGAATCCAGGAGCTGGTTTTTTGAAAGGATCAACAAAATTGATAGACCGCTAGCAAGACTAATAAAGAAAAAAAGAGAGAAGAATCAAATAGACACAATAAAAAATGATAAAGGGGATATCACCACCGATCCCACAGAAATACAAACTACCATCAGAGAATACTACAAACACCTCTATGCAAATAAACTAGAAAATCTAGAAGAAATGGATAAATTCCTCGACACATACACTCTCCCAAGACTAAACCAGGAAGAAGTTGAATCTCTGAATAGACCAATAACAGGAGCTGAAATTGTGGCAATAATCAATAGTTTACCAACCAAAATGAGTCCAGGACCAGATGGATTCACAGCTGAATTCTACCAGAGGTACAAGGAGGAACTGGTACCATTCCTTCTGAAACTATTCCAATCAATAGAAAAAGAGGGAATCCTCCCTAACTCATTTTATGAGGTCAGCATCATTCTGATACCAAAGCCGGGCAGAGACACAACCAAAAAAGAGAATTTTAGACCAATATCCTTGATGAACATTGATGCAAAAATCCTCAATACAATACTGGCAAACCGAATCCAGCAGCACATCAAAAAGCTTATCCACCATGATCAAGTGGGCTTCATCCCTGGGATGCAAGGCTCGTTCAATATACGCAAATCAATAAATGTAATCCAGCATATAAACAGAGCCAAAGACAAAAACCACATGATTATCTCAATAGATGCAGAAAAAGCCTTTGACAAAATTCAACAACGCTTCATGCTAAAAACTCTCAATAAATTAGGTATTGATGGGACGTATTTCAAAATAATAAGAGCTATCTATGACAAACCCACAGCCAATATCATACTGAATGGACAAAAACTGGAAGCATTCCCTTTGAAAACTGGCACAAGACAGGGATGCCCTCTCTCACCACTCCTATTAAACATATTGTTGGAATTTCTGGCCAGGGCAATTAGGCAGGAGAAGGAAATAAAGGGTATTCAATTAGGAAAAGAGGAAGTCAAATTGTCCCTGTTTGCAGACGACATGACTGTATATCTAGAAAACCCCATTGTCTCAGCCCAAAATTTCCTTAGGCTGATAAGCAACTTCAGCAAAGTCTCAGGATACAAAATCAATGTACAAAAATCACAAGCATTCTTATACACCAACAACAAACAAACAGAGAGCCAAATCATGAGTGAACTCCCATTCACAATTGCTTCAAAGATAATAAAATACTTAGGAATCCAACTTACAAGGGATGTGAAGGACCTCTTCAAGGAGAACTACAAACCACTGCTCAAGGAAATAAAAGAGGATACAAACAAATGGAAGAACATTCCATGCTCATGGGTAGGAAAAATCAATATCATGAAAATGGCCATACTGCCCAAGGTAATTTACAGATTCAATGCCATCCCCATAAAGCTACCAATGACTTTCTTCACAGAATTGGAAAAAACTACTTTAAAGTTCATATGGAACCAAAAAAGAGCCTGCATCGCCAAGGCAATCCTAAGCCAAAAGAACAAAGCTGGAGGCATCACACTACCTGACTTCAAACTATACTACAAGGCTACAGTAACCAAAACAGCATGGTACTCATACCAAAACAGAGATATAGATCAATGGAACAGAACAGAGCCCTCAGAAATAACGACGCATATCTACAACTATCTGATCTTTGACAAACCTGAGAAAAACAAGCAATGGGGAAAGGATTCCCTATTTAATAAATGGTGCTGGGAAAACTGGCTAGCCATATGTAGAAAGCTGAAACTGGATCCCTTCCTTACACCTTATACAAAAATCAATTCAAGATGGATTAAAGACTTAAATGTTAGACCTAAAACCATAAAAACCCTAGAAGAAAACCTAGGCATTACCATTCAGGACATAGGCATGGGCAAGGACTTCATGTCCAAAACACCAAAAACAATGGCAACAAAAGACAAAATTGACAAATGGGATCTAATTAAACTCAAGAGCTTCTGCACAGCAAAAGAAACTACCATCAGAGTGAACAGGCAACCTACAAAATGGGAGAAAATTTTCGCAACCTACTCATCTGACAAGGGGCTAATATCCAGAATCTACAATGAACTCAAACAAATTTACAAAAAAAACACAAACAACCCCATCAAAAAGTGGGCGAAGGACATGAATAGACACTTCTCAAAAGAAGACATTTATTATGCAGCCAAAAAACACATGAAAAAATGCTCATCATCACTGGCCATCAGAGAAATGCAAATCAAAACCACAATGAGATACCATCTCACACCAGTTAGAATGGCAATCATTAAAAAGTCAGGAAACAACAGGTGCTGGAGAGGATGTGGAGAAATAGGAATACTTTTACACTGTTGGTGGGACTGTAAACTAGTTCAACCATTGTGGAAGTCAGTGTGGCGATTGCTCAGGGATCTAGAACTAGAAATACCATTTGACCCAGCCATCCCATTACTGGGTATATACCCAAAGGACTATAAATCATGCTGCTATAAAGACACATGCACACGTATGTTTATTGCGGCATTATTCACAATAGCAAAGACTTGGAACCAACCCAAATGTCCAACAATGATAGACTGGATTAAGAAAATGTGGCACATATATACCATGGAATACTATGCAGCCATAAAAAATGATGAGTTCATGTCCTTTGTAGGGACATGGATGAAATTGGAAATCATCATTCTTAGTAAACTATCGCAAGAACAAAAAACCAAACACCGCATATTCTCACTCATAGGTGGGACTTGAACAATGAGATCACATGGACACAGGAAGGGGAATATCACACTCTGGGGACTGTTGTGGGGTGGGGGTAGGGGGGAGGGATAGCATTGGGAGATATACCTAATGCTAGATGACGAGTTAGTGGGTGCAGCGCACCAGCATGGCACAGGTATACATATGTTACTAACCTGCACAATGTGCACATATACCCTAAAACTTAAAGTATAATTTAAAAAAATAAATAAATAAAAAATAATAATAATAAAAATAAAAAAAAATAAAAACCTAAGTTAACTTGAAAAAAAAAAGAGTCATTCGATGTAACAATAATGCAATAAGTAGAGGAGAATCTATATTTCAATTGAGAGAAGATAAAAGTTAAATTAAGGATAATTTTGGTCACTTTTTCAAGACAGAAAAAGGAAATATAGAAAGGGATCAAAAATGACTTCCTGAGAACAATATAAATACAAAAGTAAAATAAAATTAAAAAGGAAAGGGAGCAAGAGTGAAATGTGCATTTAAAGTAGTTTCTTTTTTCTGTGAGAAGTAATCTTACAAATAAAGGTTCAAAAAAATATGAATCTGTAGAAAATGAAAGAGAACTGGAATACCAAAGAGATGAAGAATATGGATAGAGGAGTAAGCTATGAGCAGAGGTTTGAACACATCTGTGAGAAATATGTTCTATTTAATTATATAATCCAAATATCACAAACACCTCTGGTCACACATCCACAATGGTTCTTAATTATAAATATTATTTATAATTTTTATTACTAATGATGATGTATGACATGTTATCTATTTACTATCATTTTTAAAAATTTGGACTCTTTTTATAAAATTGGAAAAATTGGAAAAATAGGCAAGGTGCAGTGGCTCACACTTGTAATCCCAGCACTTTGGGAGGCCGAGGCAGGCAGGTTACATGAGCCTGGGAGTATGGTGGTGTGTGCCTGTAGTCCCAGCTACTTGTGAGGCTGAGGTGGAAGGATTGCTTGAGTCCAGTAGGCACAGGTGGCAATGAGCCAAATTCGCCCCACTGCACTCCAGGCTGGGATACACAGTGAGACTCCATCTCAAAAAATGGAAAAATAAAAAAACAACTATCGCAATATTGTTTTTGTAAATGTATGCAAAAGCCTAGGACTCAGATTCCACTGAAGTCACTGTGATGTGTATATACATCACAGTGTATATATACATATATATATACACACATATATATATGCTCAAATTTTTTTAAATGCTCAGATTTTTAAAATCTTATTAAAATAATTTCCAGATTTTAAAATCTGTTAATACTTATGAGACTACATTTGTAAAAATGTATTTTAAGAATATGGTTTACTGACAAACATAACAAAAATGCTGACACAAATTTTTTTTAAGAAACAAAGAATATTGGTTAGAATTTGGAGAAAAGGAAACCCTTGCACATCGTTAGTAGGAATAGAAATTAGAGCCGCCATTATTAAAACCTATATGACAGTTTCTCAAAAGAATTAAAGATAGAACTAGCTGGGTGCAGTGGCTCACGCCTGTAATCCCAGCACTTTGGGAGGCCAAGGCGGGCAGATCACGAAGTCAGTAGATCGAGACCATCCTGGCTGACACGGTGAAACCCCGTCTCTACTAAAAATACAAAAAATTAGCCAGGTGTGGTGGCGGGCACCTGTAGTCCCAGCTACTCGGGAGGCTGAGGCAGGAGAATGGCATGAACCCGGGAGTCGGAGCTTGCAGTGAGCCGAGATCACGCCACTGCACTCCAGCCTGGGGTACGGAGCAAGACTCTGTCTCAAAAAAAAAAAAAAAAAAAAGAATTAAAGATAGAACTATCATATTATCTAGCAATCTCTCAGTACTGGGCATGTATTTAAGGGAAATAAAGTCAATATTTTAAAGAGACATGTACACTCTCACGTTAACTGCATTTTTATTCTCCATAGCCAAGACATGGAATCAGTCCAAATGTCCATCAGTGGCTGAGTGGATAAAGAAAACATGGAATATATACAAAATGGAATAATAAACGGCCATAAAAAATATCAAAATCCTGTCATTTGCAACATGAATGAACCTGGAAAACATTATGCTGAGTGAAATAAGGTAAGCAGAGAAAGAAAAATGTTGCATAATTTCACTCAAATGTGTGTTAAAAGAAACAACTTTAGCCAAATTAAATTTAAAAGAGTTAATTGAGTGAATAACAATTCACAAATCCAGCAGTCTCCAGAGGCTGAGTAAGCTCTGAGACTCCAGTGCAGCTACATGGTAGAAGAAAATTTACCGACAGAAAAAGGAATGTGACGAAAATGGAAGTGAGGTACAGAAACAGCCGGATTGCTTACAGCTCAGCATTTGCCTTATTTGAACATGATTTGAGCAACTGGCTACCTTTGATTGGCTAAAATTCAGTAATTGGCACAGGAGTGGAATACAGTCTGTATACAACTCCATTTAGGTTATAGTTCACAATGTACAGAAAAACCTTTAGGCCAAACTTAAAATGGTAAGGAGGAATTTTAGGCTAATCTTGACTTAACATGTGAAATCTAAACTAGTTGATCTCATAGACGTAAATAATAGAATGGTAGGTAGTTACCAGGGTATGGGATGGTTGGGAGCAAGATAGAGAAGATGTTGGTCAAAAAATCAAAAAAATTCATTTAGATGGTAGAAATAAACTCAAGAGATATATTTTAAAAGATGGTAACTATAGTTAATAATATATTGTATTCTTAAAAGATACTGAGGGTGGACGTAAAGTGTTCTTATCACAAAAGGGATAGCCATGTGAGATAATGCATATATTAATTAGCTAGATGTAGTTATTCAACAAAGTATATATACTTCAAAACATCATGTTATACATGGTAAATACATTTATCTGTCAATGTAAAAAAAACTAAAAATAACAAAGGATAGTAGAATACTTACTGTATTCCTTCTTTGTTAAAAAATGAATAGAATCACTATACACAAAAAGTATTTTATCATTGCTAAACCAAAACAACAAAATCCCTGATGATGCTTTTTAAGAGGGGTTTAACTAAAAACATATACAATTTAATAAATTTCACAGTGAAAAATAAGACTTACTAATTTTTTTAAAGTGCTGAAAATATCAATAAAGACATTTAAATATAATGCAATTTTACTATTTCAACATTTCTCATCATTTCATAATGTTAGTGCTCCAAAAAGACTAAAGTTAATTATTACCTGGGGAAGCTGGAGTTATATTAATTAAATGTCTTGGTTATACTGATCCAAACAGAACGAAAAGTATTAACGTATTTTCTGTTTAACTTATTTTATTTTAAATATATCTTCATATATATGCGTGTGTCTATGTATATATATTCCCCAATCAAATAGCCAGCTCCAGGAAAAGGCTACGATGTTTAAAAAACTCTTTTTGAAAATATCTTCATTAAATATGCAATAACTATATTTCTCTGGTAGTATACACAATTATTTAATCCAAAATACTTTATAATTTTAGACTGTAACAAATTTTAAATATAGTTTACAATGATGCTGTGATATTCATTTCAACAACTAACAGTATGAAAAGATTACTATAAATCCCTGGAGGATTATCTAAGGTATGATATAGCCAGAAATTGCAGAAATAATATGCTTTGTAAAATAGCAATACAATATTTGTAATTATTTTTTGTATATTATATACATATCAATACCAGCACATGCTTGAGGTCTAAAAGAAATGCAGTGTATTTAGTGGGAGAATAGTTATATTAGATTTAAACAGACCTTAATTTAAATGCACACCTCACCACTGCAGTAAAATTAATGATTATTTATGAGATTTAGGTTTTTTAATCCTTAAAGGAGGCATATCTTTCATTATGGTAAATTTTGTAGTAAAAATTCAATTGAAAAATAGTTAAAGTTGTCTTAGTTAAATACATTGAAAACATTTGCTGTCATCACAATGCTAATGATAACAAAAGAAGTCATTTTGATTCCTTTAATTCTACAATACAATTGTATAACATGACAAAATTTTGTTCCTCAAGTCTAGCTTGCTCCTTGTCCCAGAGAGGAACAAGAAGCAAGCTAGACTTGGACAGGAAGCAAGCTAGACTTGAGAAAGAAAATTTTGCACTGTGAGGTCTTTATGGATATTGTTCACATTAAAATATTAAATTATTATCTTGCCATTCATACTGCCAGTCTGCCTCATTTCTCATCACTACCCTGAACTGGCTTTCATCGAGCTAATAATTGTTACCTCATCATACATTTCAAAATCCTCAATTCCTTGACTTCCAACCAATATAAAACTGTGCTGACTATTCCTTTTTTCTTACTTTTTAATTTTGCTGTGATAAGAACAATTACCAATACAAGATGTACTCTCTTAACAGATTTTTAAGTATTCAATATGTGTACAGCATTAGCTCGAGACACAATGTTGTACAGCAGATTTCTAGAACTTGTTTCATCTTACATAACTGAAACTTTATGCCCAATGTTTGGCAACTTCCTGTTTCCTCTTTTCTTGTCAACACTTGCAACCACCATTTAACTCTCTACTTATAGAAGTTTGACTATTTTAGATGTCTCATATAAGTGGAATCATGCAGCATTTTTTCTGTGGCAGTCTTATTTCACTTAGCTTAAAGTGCTCAAGCTTCACTCATGTTGTTGCACATGGCAAGATTTCTTTCTTTTTAAAGAGTGAATAATGTTTCATTGCATATAGATATGATGTTAAAAATGGACATTCAGATTGTTTCCACATCCTTGGTGCTTGTGAATAGTGCTGTCTTTAACATGAGAGTTATAATTTCTCTTTGAGATCCTGATTTGAACTATTTTGGAAAATTACACTTCAGTAGTATTGCTGGATTGTATGGTAGTTCAATTTTTATTTTTTTAAGGAACCTCCATACTGTTTTCCACTGTGGCTGTACCAGTTTGCATTTCCACAAACACTGTACAATGGTTCCACATCCTGGCCAACATTTGTGTGTTTTTCTGTTACATATATTCATATATATATGTGTGTGTGTGTATATATATAAACACACACACACGTGTCTATATACACATATATATGTGTCTATATGTAACTATATATATCTTTATGTATATTTGGATCTGTATACATTTAAAATATATGTAAATATATGTCACATATATGTAATAACTGTCCTAACAGGTGTGAGGTGATGTTGTGGTTTTGATTTGCATTTCCCTGATGATTAGTGATTGACACAGTTTGGCTGTGTCCCCACCCAAATCTCATCTTGAATTGTAGCTTGCATAATTCCCACATATTGCGAAAGGGATCTGGTTGGAGATAATTGAATCAAAAGGGCCAGTCTTTCCCGTGCTATTATCATGATAGTGCATAAGTCTCGTGAGCTCTGATGGTTTTATAAAGGGCAGTTTAACTGCAGAAGCTGTCATCTCTTGTCTGCCGCCATGTGAGATATGCCTTTCAGCTTCCAGCATGATTGTGAGGCCTCCTCAGCACATGGAACTGTGAGTCCATTAAACCTCTTTCTTTTGTAAATTGCCCAGTCTTAGATACGTCTTTATCAGTAACTTGAAAATGGACTAATACAGTGATGTTGACCATCTTTTCATACACCTGTTGGAAATCACAGGGGAAAACAAAAACAAAAACAAAAAACTAATGATATTGATCTTGGCAATAATTTCTTGGATATGACACCAAAAATACAGATAACAGAAGTGAAAATGGACAAGTGGGACAACAGGAAAATAAAAATTTACTAAACAAAAAAGAAGCAATTAATGGAGCGTAAAAGCAACATAAAGAATAGAGGAAAATATTGCAAACCATATATCTGTTAAGGGCTTAATAACCAAAATATACAAGGAACTCTTACAGCTCAATAGCAAAAAGGTAGTAATCCAGTTTAAAAAATGAACTATTCCCTTCATGTTGCAACAATTTATTTCTCTTTTGCAAACTCCTCTTTACTGACACTTTTCTTGCCAGTCTGACTACCCCCTTTAATTTTCTCTGCAGTATTATTCTTCTCTAATAAGGCTTTAGAGCTTGTGGTTCTGCAATTCTTTATATTTAATCTTGTTTTCTTGCTATTCCATGTGCCCTTCCCTGCCTGTGGCACATAAATCACAAGTTTGTTCCTACAGCCTTGCTTTTGTATTTATGCTCCAGAGCTGCAAACACAACTGTTATGCTATGTGGATTATGTCCTTTATCTGAAACAATTGGTGCTCTTTGTGCTTAAAAAATAGATAGTTTTTGGATTTTAAAAAGACCTATACATGAGGTGTTATGAAACATTACAACTGTCACATGGAAAAACCCCAAATTTGTAAATATTTGCATTAAGTCAGCTTAATTATGAAATACACAACAAAAACAACAACAAAAATCCTATAGAGCCTCATGTAGTTTAAATCAGCTTTTTGCTGCCAAATAAATTTCTACAATTTTTTTAGGAAAAATTCATTTGATTTTCCGGGAATTTCTAACTTCCAAAAGTGAAATAAGTGGTTGTGAACTTATAGCTCTCTTGAAGTCTCAAAACAAACAAACAAAAATTCCAACCAAGAATTTCCAAAGACAAAACTCATAATCATCCCTGTTCAAGTTTATTTACTTTCTCCAGTTCAGTTTACAGCCCTGCTAAATATTCAGTTAGGCAAACCTTAACCTTAGCAATTCAATTTTAATTTTCTTTCTCTGTCACCGTCCATGTCTAATGATCAGTTTCCCTGTCTTATTTTGATACATACACTCACCCATGCACAGGCATCGATGTGCATGCAAACAGACACACACCATTCGTTTCTATTAACTTCACTCCATATCCAAGCTACCACCATTGCTTAACTGATTTGCAAAAATAACTCTAAAATCAATCTCCCATCACTCAGTTTTGGGCTCTTCCAAGTCATTCTTTACTTTTAAAAACATAGTGACTACGTACATGCAGGAACACCCATACCCATTGCAGTGATATTTCATGCTATTCCCTCTATTTGGAATCAATACCCCTTTCTCCTTCATCAATAGCTACTTAAAATGAGATCCACACATTACAGTACTGGAGGACGATTTCTGCAGAATTTGAGCATCTGAATTTAAACCCATGATCTAAACCAAACTATTTATGTGATATTTATTTAACAACAAATATACTTATTCTTCTCTCAGCACTTATCACACTTAAAACTTTACATTTTTGTTTTACTTAATACAATGAAACATTGTTTAAATTTATCTCTACCACTAAACTGCAAAATCTGAGAGCACAAATACCATTTTAATTTAACTAATCATTCAATGTATAATAAATTCTCTCACATACACACAATTTCTAATAATTGTCTCAGATTGAACAGATCAAATAAAATAAGTTACAAAAATAAATAAATACTATTTTTACTAGCAACAATCTTTGACTCCAGCTCTTTATATTGGTAATTTCAGATTATCTTAAGCAATAAAGTAGGAATTTTATAGAAAACTGGATATGGAGTTTTCAAGTGTGTGGAGACCAATGAGATGCAATTTTGGTTGTATTATCTTTATTATCAATTATAAATCACATCTAAATTTTAATTTTGGAATAAGGCTTGATTTATATCCATAGCTTCATAGAGTTAATGTTTAGCCCCATATTTTTTTAAAGTTAGCCAGACTGCCAGGCTCCCTTTCTGACGAAGTTCAGCATCTATAAATAGATTGCAAATACTAATATTTTAAAATTGTCTAAAATGTAATTTTATATAAATGTTAAGAATTAATTTGGGAAATCAAAAATTGGTTATAGTTAAATTGCAAATAACATTACATATTGAATACATTTTATTTCTTTGGTCTATAATAGGAAAAATACAAGTTGCTGTACATCACAAAGTCAAAAAAATCAATATAAATTAAGTTGAAGCTCGTGAGGAAAGCTCTGTTCAAAATCAGTGTTGATTTAAAAATCAATATAAGTTTAAACAAACATGTTATGTTTCATCAATATAACATGCATAACAGTAAGGCAGGTTAAGTATACTAAATATACAAACAAAACCTTGTAATGAATATATGTGCTATTACACATCATGTATACAAATAGGTGAACTATGCAAATAAATACAGGTCGGCATGACCACAGATCAGATGATTCAAACCCACCTGACCAAGAAAGATTCTTCTAGACTTTCATGCTAGAAATAATAATTTCAAGCTTTCTTAGTCTATACATGTAACACAACTGACCATTTATTTTACAGCACTATCAATTTTACTATTATTTATGTTTTGCATCCTCAGCTCAATTGATTTATAAATTTATAAATTAGAAAAAGAAAATACTACCTGTTTATTGTATAAAATTTTATGCACTTTTGGAGTAACATTGTTTGCCTACTGTGCTTTCTAACAAATGGCTTTTAGTTGAAAGAAATTAGAAGCAACTAGTTTAATCTTTGCAAATTACCTATATACATATATAATGTAGGTGAAATATATGCTCCTTCCTATGTGTAATTAAGTTATTAAGCTCTCAGAAATATTGTAAGTGAAAAAAAATGTGGTTCTTACTCCAGCTACTTCTACCTACTTCAAATTCAACGAATGTTTTGTTATTCTAAGTGTGGTGTGTGTGTGTGTGTGTATTTTTTCTTCATATCTATATAGACAATATTTAAAATAATTACAGATAGGCAAAACTTTCCAGTCATATGTTCTAGGAAGTTGCTTTGATTATTACTTTATGTATTTTTCCCAAAAACTATGAAACGTGTGAGATGTTCACCTTAGTTGCCAGAAAATATGTTAGCCTGTCACAGTTTCATGAATACTGGCAGACCACGGAAGACTCCTGGGTAAGAGATAGGAATTAGATTTCTTCTAATTCAGCAAGCCGCATGAGCTTTACGGTTGCATCAGCTCTCTTCATCTTCTGAGTCTCGTGGGGATGATGCAGATTGGTCCAAGTGAATACTGTATGATAACATCCCTAAGGATATCACGTAGTATGACAAACAAAACAAAACAAAAGCAAACAAAAAAACTAAGACCTTGGTTTGGTCATTGAGCAATGCCAATATTTAATGATCATATTAGTTTGCAATAAAGACATAGAAAAAATTGCCAGAGAACTAGATAAAAGCCTAAATGTGTCATGCTATGAAAAACCATGGAGAGAGCACTAGATTCTGCTCAAGTGTCTGATGAGTTCTTTAAAAATGTGAATTGAACATAGCATAACCCAGTGCATCGGTGAACTTGGAAGTTTTTTGGTAGAATGGTGAACATAGAGACTGTTTTATAATATATATATTTTAAATAGGATGTGGACAAATACATGAGATTGTGTTGGAAAATTTCTTTTTAAAAAAGTGGAGAGAACACCATGTTTCAGGCCAGCTTAAAATAATCCAGTTTAGAGAGTGTAGGTGATTTTATGAGAGAGAAAAGGACAGTTGACGGTACCAAGAAAAAGTAGTAGACCCAATTCAGTGAAGATCCCAATGAAATTTAAAGGACTTTTAAAACAGTATTTTTCATACTATACATTATAGAAGAAAACCATGTGTAAATTAATTATGTTGGACATAAAAAATACAGCTGATAAGGTCCAAAAAATCATGGGAAGGGGGGTTTATACAGATTAAAAAACAATTTATTAGACATGAATACAGAAAGAAATTGGCAGTCTAGGAAATTGAAAGGAATATGCATCTGCATATTATAATTATTCAGGATTGTACCAGGACCTGAGATGGAAACAAAGACTATTAGCTAAGTGCCAATTGTGTTAACACATGAGCTGGAGCAAACTGCCTTTGCTAGATGCTATGAATGAGATGAAGAGAAAGGATGGTATAGTCAAATGGTATGAGTCAATAACTAGTAATTTTCTATGTGTAATATATGTTGGTACTTTTAAGTATACATTCACACATACACACAATATATACATTGTAATTGAACCATAAGTGAATATTGGATATCTTAATATATATTGTATACAACAGCAAATGTACCAAGTTAGTAGTAGCTCTATTAAATAAATTTTGTAATTTTCACACTCTAATAGTATAAAATTATTGTTCATAAAAATTAATAAAAACCAGTCTTCAATAATTTAATGTGTATACAGCCATTATTATCTTATTAGTTATAACATATTTGTAATAAGGTTAAATAATAATGTGTTATGATAAAAATCTATCATTTACATTCTATTTTTGAGAAAATAATTTATCTCTACATGTAGTTACTTTGCTTGAAATATATTTAATTTAAAAGTATTGTTTAAACTTCACAAGAAAAGAACTTTTTATGCTAAGTAATTTTTAGTGAGATTTTATTGTTCAAAACTGACCTACTTATGACTCATGTTTTTATTTTTGGAATGTTTTCAATGAATCAAGACTACAATTATTTTTTACTGTATCCTTATATTTTCTCCTTCTATTATTTTTTTTCCACCAACATATCCTGAAGTTATTACTGCAAGTGGGGAACTATCTTGAAGACTCAATGGATTGAAACTTTTTAGATTTTTCTTGCTTAATGATATGATTTTGCTGTGTCCCCAACCAAATCTCATCTTGAATTGTAGTTCCCATTATCCCTATGTGTTGTGGGAGGGAACCAGTAGGAGGCAATTTAATCACAAGCACAGTTACCCTCATGCTGTTCTTGTAATAGTGAGTGAGTTCTCATGAGATCCGATGGTTTTATGAGGGGCCTTTACCTCTTTTGCTAGGCACTTCTCCTTGCTGCCTCCATGTGAAGAAGGTTGTGTTTGCTTCCACTTTTGCCATGATTTTAAGTTTTCTGAGGCCTAACCAGTGAGGCTGAACTGTGAGTCAATTAAACCTCTTTCCTTTATAAATTACCCAGTCTCAGGTATGTCTTTATTAGCAGCATGAGAATGGACTAATACACTTTTCTCCCAAATTATTTACAATAGATATAACATTTGACCCAGCCATCCCATTATTGGGTATATACCCAAAGGACTATAAATCATGCTGCTATAAAGACATATGCACACATATGTTTATTGTGGCATTATTCACAATAGCAAAGACTTGGAACCAACCCAAATGTCCAACGATGATAGACTGGATTAAGAAAATGTGGCACATATACACCATGGAATACTATGCAGCCATAAAAAATGATGAGTTCATGTCCTTTGTAGGGACATGGATGAAATTGGAAATCATCATTCTCAGTAAACTATTGCAAGAACAAAAAACCAAACACCGCATATTCTTACTCATAGGTGGGAATTGAACAATGAGAACACATGGACACAGGAAGGGGAACATCACACTCTGGGGACTGTTGTGGGGTGGGGGTAGGGGGGAGGGATAGCATTGGGAGATATACCTAATGCTAGATGACGAGTTAGTGGGTGCAGCGCACCAGCATGGCACATGTATACATATGTAACTAATCTGCACATTGTGCCCATGTACCCTAAAACTTAAAGTATAATAATAATAAATTAATTAATTTAAAAAAGAAAGATTTTGAAAACAAAAACAAAAACAAACACAATAGATATACTTACAAAATAGGATCCCATTATTTTTACGCTCATCCAAATTCAACTATCAATTCTCAAGACAGTGTGTGATTAGAGTGTTTAAAGAATGTTATGCTGTTGTATGGTATGACTATGCAACAGGCTGCTTAATGAATTATTAATATTTTCAAAAATATTAATGCTTCAGTATTCAGCTGAATTCTTAATAGTGAAGGAGAAAATTGCATTTTGGATGTACTGATACATGTCTAGAGAACTTCAAGAGAAATTGGGGTTTTTTAGGGTAATCCTGATTATGTGTAATTTTCAAGTAATGTACTAAATTTGCAATGTAAGCATCAAGCAATGAGGATTTCTATTATATTATTATCCAGACTTTACAAATTGAGAAAATAAGCATGAAAAAAAATCACATGAGTTTATACTAGGTATACACGTCTAGTAAACCGCAAAGTCAAAACATAAACATTTGCCTGATTTTTATCCCCATTAACTTAAATATTAATACTAAATATTTTTACCCACCTTATGTGTCAACCACAATCCTAGGCTCTACCCATGTTTACCACACCATTTCCTACAAACCAACTTAAGTGGTAGTTATTACTGCATACCATTTAAGAATGAAAAAGGAAGGTAATGGTAACTGACTCAAAGTCACACAGTCATTAATGGATGGAGCAAAGATTTGGACTCAGGAAACCTGTGAGTGCTTCTTCTTAATTACTGTGCTGCTCTTTGTCTCTCCACTTATGCTATATTGCCTTTCTCATCCTTTATTATAAGTCAGTTTCTCATTTCCTATTTCTCTTTAATGTCTTCCAAAAGGCTCTGTGAACCTTGTGATTTCTTGAAAACTCCATCAGAGCACATGTTCAATGAAACAGATCACTTCTTTTCTTTATCCTAGTCCTAGTCTTGGAACATTTTTAAAGTAAAACATTATTGGGCACCAAGATATTTGCATCAGCTGAGTGTTTTCCTGCATCTCTGTAATGCTTTACATAAAACAATACTAAAGAATGTGCAGATATGACACATATACTTTTAGTTAGTTTCCTTGGGAGATTCATCTTATTCTACCTCTCCCATACTCACACTCATTTTGGAGGAAGAAATGGGCACAGAAACAACTGGTGACAGCAAGGTGATCCATTTATTACTGCTTTTGATTAAGAACATATTAACAATGCAGAAACCCAGTCATATCTCTCTTGCATCGTGTTAGGCATGTTTAATGAACAGATGTCTCTAGGATATTCAGTAGTAATATTACAATTATTAAAATTTTAGATATATTTCTTATAAGAACTTTTGAGTGTATGCATATTTTATTTATTTTGTAATTACATTAAAGTATTTATGTGGGGTATGTCCACATGAATCAGAATTGAACTAAGACAGTAACAGTCAAAATGTATTAATTGCATTTGTTTGCATGAGAGAGGTGAAAAAATAGTAGTGTTATGTTGGTATCTTTCAAGTCCATCCATGGAAATTTTCCTAAGTATTTCATGAAAAATGAGATTATCATGCTTAATGCATTTTATTTTTTACAGTCACCCTTGTGATTCAGTCTGAGCTGGGCAAATCACATATGCTAGTGACAGCACAACAAATGCCTGCCTTTGCTTAGAATTCTGGTACACTGGTTTTTGCTTCTCTCTTCTTTTTTTCTTTTAATGTCCACTTTCTGTTAAGCCTGGTATAATGTGAGGGCTGGATACTCTTTCTTTGTTTGGTATTTTTATATACCATAGGGAGCCAGCTTAGGTATGAATATTATCATGGACGGGTGCAGAGACCTAGAGACTAAGAACATTCCTGAAATCTGTCTTTTGTTTTGTTTTGTTTTGTTTTGTTTTGTTTGTTTTGTTTTGTTTTGTTTGAGAGGGAGTCTCGCTCTGTCGCCCATGCTGGAGTGCGATGGTGCGATCTCGGCTCACTGCAACTTCCGCCTCCTGGATCCAAGCGATTCTTCCACCTCAGCCTCCTGAGTATCTGGGATTAAAGGCGCACACCACCATGCCTGGTTAATTTTTGTATTTTTGTAGAGATGAGGTTTTGCCATGTTGGCCAGGCTGGGCTGTAACTCCCAACCTCATGTTATCCACCCGCCTCGGCCTCCCAAAGCGCTAGGATTACAGGCGTGAGCCACCGCGCCTAGTGAAATCTGCTCTTTTACAGTGACTGCCATATACTCTTTATAGTTAAATGGGTTTTTTTGTTTGTTTGTTTTTTATCTTTAGGCCATCAACAAACTCTTCCATATCCCTCACAGATGCTCTTTTATGCATTTAGTTTCAGAGAAAAACATAAGGGCTCTCTCTGACTTATTATGACTACATAAGTTATGCCGTTATTTCTACTTTTATGTTGGGCTAAGGAACAAGTCATTATATGAGATCCCCTCCTTCACTTCACTAAGAGAGTGAGGCACAGGCCCCTTCTACTTAATGATGAATATTTAACTTAAATGGAGTGCTGAAGTTTCTATTGTCTGTCTTTCTGTCTGCTTCTGTCTGTTTCTGGAGGTTTCTCTGCCTCTTTCTCTGAATTGGTCTCTCAGACACACATACATACACACACACACACACACACACACACACACACACACACACACTGCTGTTCTGGATTAGAAGCTTGATTTCCAGGGCCTTTCATCATACCTAAAACACACACACACACACACACACACACACACACACACACACACACACACACATACACTGCTGTTCTGGATTAGAAGCTTCCATTTCCAGGGCCTTTCATCATACCTAAATATAATATCTTCTCTGCTGTACAATTCCTCTTTTTCTAGCCCACTTTTCCTAAGTTTGGAAACATCAATCTAGTTTCTAAAATCCAGACAGACATTTAATTGTAATTCTTCTCACAATGTTCCTTTCTTAACACTAGCTCAATGATATAAAAATTTAAATCTAATAATTGCCCATCATTTTTCTTGGCTCCCACTATGACACTTCCATATAGGTAATGCCAGAACCCATGGATTAAAGCTGAAATGAGAAAAATCAGTAGATTTATGTAAAGTTCTGAAAAATCTACACCACAATTAATTTTTCTAATATCATATGCCACTTTCTCATTCCTTTGAGAAGGCTATGCTCTGACATTGCCAAATTCAAGTTCAATGTCCAATTATACCCACATAATTAGCAGACAAGTAGAGCAGTAGAGGGTAGGTCAGGCTAAAGTGTTAAAGAATTTTAAAATCTCACAATATTTTAGAGCTGTGGCAAGACCTGAACAACAGATGAATATGAAAATGAACTCAAAAATCTATTAGAGTCAAGCAACTAGTTTTTTTTTCTAATTGGGTGGAGTGTTGCAGAAGTGTATCTCCCCAGGTAAAATAATTTAACAAGGGAATGTCCATATAAGGCACCTAAAGAAGCATCTCAGAAGAACGCAGGTCTCAGGTCTAGAAGCAATGCCTAGATGTTGAAAAGAGGCACATAATAATGTACTGCTGTAAGTGAGACAGTTTGTTCTGAAAATTGCAGGTTATAGGATTTTCACTAGTCATTTTCAATAATGAATGGGGCCTTAAAAAGATGAAGAAGCCCACAAAATATGCATTAGGTGTTCAGAATGATTTTCTTACTAGTATTACTCAGCAAGGGCATGGCACACATATTATTCTGGTGCATTTGTTAGAAAACCCACTTCAACTGGCTAAGAATAAAAGTAATGTACTAGCTCACGTAACTAAAAAGTTCAGAAGTAGAGAAGGCTACAAACTATTCAATAAGCTTTATCCAACCAACAGTGATATTGCCAATTTTCCCATTTTTTTTACATCTCTCTTTCCTCTTTGCCTTTATGTTCAATTACAGCTATAGGATCCCTCATAACTGCCCATAAAGTGACGAGAGATATTTTCTTTCATTAAAACATTAATGAATAGCTATTATTAAAAAAAGAAGAGATAGTGTTGGGGAGGATGTGAACACTATTGGTGGGAATGTAACTTAGCACAGTAGTCCCTCTTTCTTCTAAAAGGATAAATTTCAAGACCCCCAGTGCATCCCTAAAAACACAGATGCATATTATGTTAGTCCCAATACCTACAAATCCATAATAAAGTTTAACTTAGGAATTAGGCATAATAAAAGATTAAGGGCAATAAATAATAAAATAGAACAATGATAACAATAAGCTATAATAAAAGCTATATGCATATGGACTCTCACTGTCTCAAAATATATTACTGTCTGTAATACTTTTACACCATGGTTGACCATGGGTAACTGAAACCAAAAAAGTGGAATCATGAGTAAGAAAGAACTATTGTACAGCCATTATGGAAAACAATGGGGAAGCTCCTCAAATAATTAAAAGTAGAACTATCATATGACCCAGCAATCCCACTACTGGCTATATATTTCAACAAATCAGCATAGTGAAGAGATGTCTGCACTCATATGTTTATTGTAGAATCATTAATAATTACCAAGATATGGAATCAACCTAAGTGTCCATCAACAGATGAATGAAGAAAATGTGTTATATTTACACAAGGGAATACTATTCAGCCTTAAAAAAGAAGAAAATCCTCTCATTTGCAACAAGATGGGTGAACCTAGAGGGCATTATGTTAAGAAAAATAAACCATAGAGAGAAAGAAAAATATCTCACCTACATGTGGAATCTAAAAACAAAAAATCAAATTAGTAGATGCAGAGAGTAGAATCGTGGTTACAAGCGGATATGGGATGGGGTGGGGAGGTTGGGATATTGGTCAAAGGATAAAAAATTTCAAATAGATAGAAAGAATAGCTTCAAGAGTTCTACTGTACAACATGGTGACTATAGTTAATTATACATGCTATTATTGAAAACTGCTGAGAGTATATTATGTGTTCTCACCAAAAAAAAAAAAAAAATGACAAACAAGTGAGGCAGTTCATAATGTTGATTAGCTCAAATTAGCACAATGTATACATATTTCCACAATGTATACATGTTTTGAAACTTCCTGTTGTACGTAAAAAAATATGTTGTACATAATCAATATATACTTTTTGTCTATTAAAAATAATGGAGAGATGAGCTTATTTGCATACACATAACACTGTACCTTTCACTGTGGACAGGAGAATTATGTGCACTGAAGATTTTAGTTAGATATGCTGTGCAGAGCTGAACCAATCACTATGGAAAATGAGATGAGATACCATGTAAGTTTTATAGGCCAACCAGGGCCACACTTAATGCTGGGGACAGAGTCATACCCACCCATAGCTGAAGCATATTCATAAAGGAAAGAAATGAATTTTCAGAAACAAAAATCTCCATTTAAGATGTACAAATAAAAGCTCTTGTAAAGTACTTCTAATTTATACATATACATATGTAAATAACATAAATATTTTGACAAGGATTATAACCATATGCTACCTAATTGTGCAAAGTCTAAAAAGCAGTTTTATTTTTTTCAATTTTGTAAGTTCAGTTCAGCATATATAGATATAAATATATATGTATATGTATTATATGTGTAGTTAGGGAGATAATAATATGATTGATAGCAAAATTGCTTCTAGATATGTTAATATGAGTAATTCTTAAGAGTTACTCTTAATCTTTGTCCTTTTTGATTTTATTCTTTGCCTTCTCAGAAAATATGCATAGGTAGCATTTGGTCATTTGGTTGGAGTAACAGGATTGCTGAATAGCCATGGAACTTTTGCTAAGCAGGTCTATGAGTGCCAGGTATTGATCTAGCAATGTCCTGGCTCAAATCCATTTTAATTTGCTTTTCCATTTTTATCTTCCTGCGGGGGGCTAGATTTCTGCCTACTATGCTAGAAAATAAACTCATTGCTAATTATAGTGCTTGTATTTCTCCATATAACTAGCAAGGGCAGCACTGACATTGAATTTTATTATATAAAATAGTGTCCATATAGAAAATTAATGAGATTAAATTTTTTATACATGAGCCAAACATTTGTCATTTATCCCAACTCAAGGGAGGTAAGAAATAGCTATATTCTACCATTTATATGATAGCAAGTCAAGATGATCTTGGATAGCTATTTTATATTCCGGCAAATACAATGTTTCATAAGCACATTCTGGTGTTTAAATTGGAGTGAGAAAATATGCCATAAATATGGCACACACATTTTTACCATTTAAATTGAAAAAAAAAGTAGCAGTATGTACAGTCCAGAATTTTCTTCATTTCAAAGTTATTATGAAGCTATAAATAAATCCCAATATCCTTCAATATGTTAAACACAGTTGAGATCATTAAAATTTTGAGATTCATCAAATTTAGCATTGCCTCTGGATACTCCTATAATATATTACACAGTATATGTTGGCATTTTAAGGTTATTAGAGGAAAAATTAAAGCTCCCGCTGAATTTGATTTACATCAGGCTCATTATTGCTTTAGCTATGTTCATATAAACTCTTAGAAACTGCAGTCAATGTACAAATTTCCCAAGATAGAATATTAATCAGTTATTAGATTGTCACAGATGTCAAGAGACAAAAATAAGACAGTTCATTTAAACCTCTACTAGCATTGTAATAGTGGTTATCTTCACACAAAAATATGTATAGCACTCTGCTTGTAGATACCTTATTATTATTTTCAGCAGTATTATAGAATGCATAATGTAATGATCAGTTTAGAAAAGAATGTTACCTTTGAACATGACAGATTACCTAGAGGTTAGAATAATAAAAATCATAAAACACAATTTACATTTATTTAGTGATCTGATTGTTGTCAAATATAAAAAGATATTTTATAAAATTTAATAAATGTCAAAATAAATTAAACATGTTACATAAAGTGAGGTGATTTTGATGAATCAAAACATTTTAACAGGGATTATAATCATGTGCTACCTAATGGTGCGAAGTCTAAAAAGCACTGTTTTAATTTTTAATTTTTTTTCAGTTTTGTTGGTATTTAGGAGAGGAAAGTAAAGCTTGTCTAGTTTACTTCATCATGGCTTTCTTTAATAGACTTACTGTACATAATGTGTGTGAGGCTTTCTTACAAAAACTGTCAAGAACGATTAGATACACATTATAAAAATATATTATTAAAACAAAAACCTCAGAACTCCCAAATTAGTTTATGTCCATTCCTACCATGCAAACTAAAATATAACCAAATAAATCCCCTGTCAATTCAAACTCAAGACAATATGAACTATTTTATTAACAATACTAACTTGTTACATAATTATTCATTTAAAAAAAATGGGGCTAGTCGCACCGGCTTCTAACAGTGTGAGAAGTAAACTCTGAAAATCATTTTCAAAAATTCTGGATGTGTTCTTACTTCAGCATGCATGGATGTATGCATGTACGTAATTTATTTTTAACATCAGCTAGTGGTGGATTTTTTGAGGGGGATATACTTCAGTAACATAACTAACTAGCATCATGTGGGTACATAGGTTTTGTCATATTCCTAGAAACAAATGCCACAATCATTCTAGAAAATATAAAAATGCGTGTTTGTGAAAGTTTATTTGCGGCTGAATTCCTGGGAGTTGAATTACTCAGTAAACTGGGCACAAACATATTATCACACTTGTCAAATCTACCAAAAGTTTCTTTTCATTCCTAATTCCATTTGTGGTTATATAGAAATATCATATTTTATTTTAAATTTTATTTTTTACAGATTAAAAAAAGATGAGTATGTCTTTGAAAAAAGTTGAAATAATATCATATTTTATAAATTAATTAAAAGTGAAATTAAATTTGTGAAGTTTCCAGTAAAATGTACACAAAACATTTAGCAAATATTTTACTTTAATTGTTTAACATTGAAAATTTTACAAAATTATATTTAAGAAAACTTTACTCCAATCAATTATTGAAAAAATAATGCAATTTTTTGGATTAAAGTATAGTGAATTGCACTGGACTAGTTATCAATATGAAATATTACTAATGTCCACCTTTGCATTTATTCAAAGCAGATACTATAAATCATACTTCGTGGCAGATTTCTTCAAATTAGCTCCTTGAAGAAAGCATCCTAATGCATTAAATATTCTGTATATGTTTGAAAGATAGATTTTTTTTTTCTCTTTTCAGAAGGAGTGTTAAGTCTGATATTGAAGAATCCAGTTTATCCAGGTCAGTGAAATCCAGAATGTTCTGTCTGGCATCATTAATTGTGGAGCTGAAGATGTGTAGATTTCTAAATCTATAAACAGATGTGATATACAGGCTGTATACATGTTAGGGTCCCTGTACAAGGTTTTCCTTTCATGTCATTAAATAAAAATACTGGCAGCTTCTTCTTGTGTTTCTGAAATCATTTGGCATTCACAACTTTAATAATATGAACAAACTGATTTGTAGTATTGTTTTCTCTCTCTCTCTCTCTCTCTCACACACACACACGCACACACACACACACACACACACAGGCAGAAGAGGTAGAGACAGAGAATCACTTCATTCCACTCTATTATTCTATTGGTCAGACAAATCTGGTCATGCTTTCCATGTAAGAATTGATATTATTTAGAACAAGAATAACATATTTTTTAATTTACTATAGTCCAAGAAACAAACACGTTTTACCCAGTTGTTTTAAACGTATGTGTTAATTCAAGTCTAGAAGGGGGCTCCTGGGTCTGTCCTAAGTCCCATTGTGATCACTTCAGCCAAGGCTTGCTTTGAATTCCTGAGGCTCCTTGCTCCTCAGATGAACAGGCGACACCACACTACAGCAGCATTAATTCTCCATGACACACTGAAATTTTGCCATTCGAGGATCAAGGTAAGCTTGCCTTTGTTTTGCATTGTGGTAATTTCAACTGCCAAAATTCGTCCCTCATTCAAATTGAGCTGAGCTGAACTCATCCCATTGTTAAGCAGATTTGTCCAATTATTTATTCCCAGATTAAGAACCAAGCTAGTCCTGTTTGTTTATTGTTATGCAAAATAGTCACACTTGTATACTAAAAAGGAGAAAATATTTATGTGGATATCACTTTTTAACATTTAGTATTATATTAATGTTCAGGTTTCTGTATGACAAATCAAGGTATGTTAGGTCCTCATTCTAGTCACATTTTAATATGTAGCCTGAACATGCGTATATTTGAGGTCTTGATTATAATACATAGTGAATCATTTCCAACTACTTTTACTTAGAGTTATTTTTGTAACAATTCCATTGGGTGCAAGGTGTCAGTAAAATTTTTAAATGTATCATTTAAAAATTATTGCACATTTTCTCTTTTCACTTTGATAATAATGTGCAATTCAAGAAGTTGGAACATAAATTTGGAAAATATGGAAGAAAAAAATAATATAATGTACGGGAAGTCCTGTCCACTCACTCAGCTTGAGGTGACAATAAGGAGAAAATATATTTACTTTGGAGAGTGCTACAGAAAGCATTCATTCATACTTCCTGACGTTATTTCTAAAAATTATTAGTTCTCAGTACTGGGAGCACTCTAACTCACCAGATAGGGACTCTCACATTCTTATAACTTGTTACCAGATTCAAGCTGTGGTAAGTAACCCTTTTATTCCTAGATGGCCTACAGAGAGGTTCTCTGGCTGATTTCAGATATGATTTTTTTTCACAGTAAGAATGCTAGTAGAATAGGTGGGAGGAATATAATATAATAAAATTTTGTTCTCTTTTCCTCCCCTCTAGATATTTTCCAACTGGTGCAAGTTTTGTTGTCATGGCTAATAAAAATAAAGGCCAGACCTTCCTGTTCTTAGCCAATAAGGGGTCAAGATATTAAACTGAGACATAGTAGAAGTTTATGCTCAAATATCACCATATTCACGAGACTTGGCCTGATCCCCAAACTGCCACCACCACACTAAAATTAAAATAATTTCTCAAGAACTGTAGATCTCCTTTTTCATTATCTCTTTATCCATAGGAATTTTATATGCTATCATGGTACTTATTATTTTTGTTTGTTTGTCAATCTCCCTTCTAAATTATTACCTAATGAAAGACAGGAATTTTTTTGGTCTGTCTCTTTGTTTATTTGTTTGTTTTGTTCGCTGATATATTCCCAACATCTAGAAAGTGCCTCAAACATAATGGGTCCTTCAGAAATATTTGCCCAATAAAATACTGAAATCTCTTTTGGCTGGAAAAACCTTTGATGTCTCGTTTTACATCTCTTCATTGAAAGGTCAGAGTTGAACACTTTCATTCATCCAAAGAGAGAAGGGCTCCGGTGATAGAATGTGTAATTGGAAATGCAACCTCTAGGGGCGTGCTGGATCTTGGCTCTACTTACTGTGTGATTTGGGGAAAATTGCTCAACATCTCTGTGCCTTATTTTCTTAATAGACATATTATCTCACATTGTAACTCAGTTATCAAGATAAAATGGGGTTCACACTTTAGATAAACAGCTTGTGGTGAGTTCAGTAATAAGAATGCATAGGTTCTTATTACCATGACAGATAACTTACTGCTTTTCCACACAGAGCACAGCATGAGAAGCAATAGCACCCTAAGATATTGGATATCCTAGGTTTTTTATTATGGTAATTACATTGTCATTTGGAGTCATTTCTATGGCAACAAAACTAATTTCATAAATAATATGATTATAAAATATTTAATAGAATTTTTCCCCTAAATGACATCATAGATACTAGATTCTGAAAACTGGTATTGGTTTAAGTCACAATTCAGCAAACTAAAACAAAAGTGTTTCCTCTTTTTATTTTTTCTCTTTATTTTTTTTCTGTTTGTATTTCTTCCTCAGAGAATATTAAAACTCAATTGGCAACAGGAGTATTGACAGAATTTGCAGTTAGTTCTGGGTTTTTGAATTGTCTATTACACTTGAGAATAGTAATGTGAAAGGAATTAATATTTAGAGTATAAATGGCAGAAATGTTTATATTTAGTTCTGACTTTTATTTATGCTTTGTAAATTTTGTAGATGTTGGCTCATGATGAAATAGTTTAATGTATTTTACGACTCACTGGAACTTTGGAAAGTAAGATACTCAAGAGTGTTTGAATTGAAAACTTCCACTTAGAAAGTTTTCAGAAAGTTAATAGATCTTATCATATAATATGACAAACATATCAATTATATAAGGAATTGATACACACAAGTCTGGGTTGGTTAAGACATATTAGTGTGAGCTTATATAACTAATAATTAACTTTATAAAATTAAACTGAGAACTAATTTTTTTGAGATTTGTTTTTTCTATGGAAGCAGAATGTTTAGAAAATCTCTCTGAACATGAGAAATAGGGTTTATCCTTAATGTTATGACATACTAAATGATTGCCAATAGAATAGTTGCTATTATGTGGAACTCAGTTTATAACCCTGTCCAGTAAGCTTGGATGAACGAAACAGGGGAAAAGTGGGAGTACAGTTTGAGATGGAAAATAGAATAGTGAGTTCTCTTAAATGGGAATAGTTTTAAGAATGTGTTCCATTGACTCCTAACGTTTATCAACAATAGTTTATATCAACAATAGTTTATTGGTAATGAAAATGTGTAATTTCAGCCTTTGTTTTAGCTGCTTTTAAAATAAATAAGAATGGAGAAGGTAGACATGGAGGAGAAAGATGAGCACCTGCCTAGGCTAACGTAACTCTAGGCACTTAGATACAGATTACATTCACAATGCCAAGCAGAAGACAACTCATCCTGTTGTTATATTTTTGTTCTCTCTATTCTTCCATTTCTCTTCTAAAATCCCTCATTTTTCATGTACATCATCCACATTTTCCATTGGAAAATTTTGTATATTTATCCTTGCTGTTTTTAAGTCATTAGCTGCTAATCACAACATCTAGGTTATCTGTCTCTTTGTATTAGCATTGTTGGGGATTTTTGTCCATTGATTATGAATTGCACTCTCATTTTCTTTGCTTTGCTTTGTTTTTATGTTCTAGATATTTTGTATATAACAAGAGAAGCACCTAATGCAAATAAAATGTATCCCCTGAAGAAAGACTACTGCCAGGTTGAAGGAAACGGTCAAATTTACATGAACAAGAGCTTGTTATGAGATTTAGTGGACAGAATTCTTTTTTTGAGGTGGGAAGATGTGTGCAATGGCGCAATCTCACCTCACTGCAACCTCTGCCTTCTGGATTCAAGCGATTCTCCTGCCTCAGCCTCCCGAATGCTGGGATTACAGGCACCTGCCACCATGCCCAGCTAATATTTTGTATTTTTTTTTTTTTAGTAGAGATGGGGTTTCACCATGTTGACCAGGTTGGTCTTGAACTCCTGAACTCAGGTGATCTGCTTGCCTTGACCTCCCAAAGTGCCGGGATTACAGGTGTGAGCCACCGCCCATGATCCCTCCCCAGGTGCACATGCTGTGTATATGCCCCTGGCCTTGGGTGGGACTGTTAATATGACGGAGCATCACTCTTGTGATTAGTTTATAATATATCACAAAACTGAAGGAAGTTTTAGATGTAATTAAGGTTCAAAACAGTTGATTTCAAGATATCAAAAGGGAGAGTAACTTGGATGGGTCTGATTTATTCAGATGAGGGGATTTCAAAGGGTCAGAGATGCAAAGAGAGAAAGATTCTCACAGTAACTTAGAACAAGTAACCTACTATGTTGGTTTTGTGAACTACAGGGTAAAGCACTGCAGGAGGCCGTTGGTTGCTGAGAGCAGCCCCAGGATGTCAGTTGGCAAGAAAAGAGGGACCTCTGTCCTACAACCTCAAGGAACTGAATACAGCCCAAACTATGCTAACTGGAAAGAGGACTCCAAGCCTCAGATGAGAGCTCATCACTGGCTGACAACTTTTGACACCTTGAGCAGAGGACTCAGTTAACCTGCACCCAATGCTTATGTCTCCCCCAAATTAATCCTAACCCCCAAAGGGGTGATATGGGAGGTGGAGACTCTGGGACGTGATTAGATAATGAGGGCAGAGCCCTCGTGAGTGAAATTAGTGCCCTTATAAAAGAGGTCTAAGGAAGACCCCTCACTCTTTCTACCTTGTTGAGGACAGAGGTGCTGTTTATGAAGTGGGACCTGGTCAGACACCTATACTTAGAGGTAATAAATCTGTATTGCTTTAAGCTTTTCCATTGTGACAGAGCGTTATGCAGTGATAGAAAACAAATATGTGGGACTTCTTGTAACATGAGTTAGATTTAGTTGCCCATGGCTTACATGTTTTGAGAGTGGAATCAGAACGTTTTCAATCCAAATACCAGATTTCTTAGCTATAGGAGACCTCTTTCTGCACTGCAGCCCAGCACCGGCTTTTACTTTGCTGCTGAGATCACTTTGCTCCTCAGTTATTTCGCTGGTTTTGCCACTTTAGGAAATTCTTTCTATGCTTTCATTGCTTTTCCTTAAGACTCTGCACACCTAGGGGGATTTCTCTCCAAGATCATTATGGCTTTTATTGAGTAGAGCCCTATGCCCTTCAGGGGCATTTCTCCTAGTGCGTCTACTCACTCTTTTGGTTGGACGGTAATAGCTGTGCACTCAGGGACTGCTTTGTGTGCCTGGTAGGAGATTTTTCAACCTTTCTGCTCTGCTCCAGTCTGTTAAGGGCCACTGATGCATTTCTGAATGGCCCCATTCAACTTGGGAAGTCTGCAGCTCTTCTGCTGTGTCTCAAGACTTCAGCTGGTTTTTAGCTAACTGTAAGAGAGGTTCTTGAACCATGCAGGGAGGTGAAGGTTTCTTGTGGTCATTCTGTCCTGCTTCAAGCTATTGTCTTAATGCCATCCTACACTAATTAAGAGTTTCTCAATTTTCTTAGATTACTTTTTCCTAATTGCCCTTCATGGTATTTTAATGCCACAGATAATTGTGTATCTATTTATATACTGTGTGCATATCTGTGTTTTATACATGAAAAGGGTAAGATTTTCTTTTACCCCACAAGAACCAGCTTTCACCCACTCAAGGGTGGTATTGCCTCACTGAGGATGCATGTTCACCTAGAATGCATGTTGGCCCTGTGGATGGATGTTTTGATCACCTCCTCTTCACCCTGTTGGTGACAGAGGGATTCTCATCCTAGGGTTATGAGAATCATTGACCACGTGTCACCTAATGCTGGACAGACAAAATTGACAGCAGTTTATTGATCATATATACTCACCCAAGAGAGGATAACTCCACATGTCATTCAAGGTCACATAGGAGTTGCTTTTAGGAACAGAGTTAACAATCAGGGGGTGTGGGAGGCAGACTTCATAGTATCAAGAGGTGAGGTGCCCACTGGTGCTCATGGCAGGATGTAATTGGTTTCTCTACATAGTTCCACAGGTTGGCAGAGAATTGAAGACCACTACTCAGGGTAGCAAGAACTACACCTGGAATATTGATAAGGAGGATTGGGTGGCTAACAGACCATATGTGTAGGAGCAGAGGTGGGAGGTGAACTTGCAAATAGGCCATGCATTAGTCCGTTTTCATGCTGCTGATCAAGACATACCCGAGACTGGGCAAATTACAAAAGAAAGAGTTTTAATAGACTTGTAGTTCCACATGGCTGGAGAGGCCTCACAATCGTGGTGGAAGGCAAGGAGGAGCAAGTCACATCTTACACTATGGCAGCAGGCAAAGAGAGCGCTTGTGCAGGGAAACTCCCATTTTAAAACCATCAGATCTCGTGAGACTTATTCACTATCATGAGAACAGAATGGGAAAGACCCACTCTCATGATTCAATTATCTACCACTGGGTCCTTTCCACAACACATGGGAATTATGGGAGCTACAAGATGAGATTTGGGTGGGGACACAGAGCCAAACCATATCAGGCCATTAAGCAACCCCCAACTTTATCAGATATCAAAATAGCACATAACATTACACCGTAAGTTTAGGTCTTGCCCCACAGTGGACTCTATGACTGGAGTTCTTGGGAATTCTAATTCCTCAAACTAGCCCACCAAGGCAATTACAATTTGGCTAATTACTAACCCCTTCCACAAGAATTCACACCTCCACCATCTGTAGGACTGTGGCTCATATTAGAAAAAGATCTCTTCATTTCTGGGGCTCATCCCTTTTTTGGAATTTGTTTAATTTAATTTTTTTTTTGCACCTTTAGGCCTCCAATGTATTTAAAACATTAATTGTTATAGTTTATTCAACTTATACTTTTTAGTATCGAAGCGATGATTTCTGGTGATATTCAATATTCTAACTAGAATCATAACTTGGGTTTTTAAAGGAAAATTTATGAGGGTATCTTCCAATATTTTATTCCAACTTTTCCATATTTTGAATTAAAATGTTTGTTATTGAGATGGAAAAAGACATCAGTGAAAACGTTTTATATCATTCTAGATGAACTGAAGCAGCTTAAGACACATTAACAATTTTTAATATTAAGAACCACGTGTTTAGAAATAATATTACTGAGAAGTGGGGTAGGAAGAATAACTCCCTCTCCCTTTTCCAGGATATCCATTCCCTAATTTCCAGAAACTGTTAATATGTTGCCTTATGTGGCAAAAGAGACATTGAAAATGTGACTGACCCTATGGATCTTGAGAGGGAGAGTTATCCTGGATTGTCTGAGTGAACTCAGAACAAGAGTACATAAAAGTAGAAAATAATTGTCTGCTGAGGTGAGTAAAAATCATAGATAACTATGAAATAAGTGTTCTAAATATGCAATAATCATGACTTTGAATATAGAAGACAAGTTCTAAGGCCAAGGTAACAGACAGCCCTAGAAGCCAGAAAGAGTAGGCAACACACCCTTCCCTGGAGCCTCCAGAAGGGAACACGGCCCTGCCAACACCTTGATGTTAGCCCAGGGAGACCCAGGTTGGACTTCTGACCTACGGAATAATAAGACAATAAATTTGTGTTGTTTTAAGCAAAAAGTTTATGGAAATTTGCCAGGACTCATATGCTATTATAGAAATATTTATTCTTTCCATAGAAATAAAATGCTAACTATAGGCTAAGAATATCAATATTCAATATCAACATCAATATTTGATAAAGAATATCAAACGCAAATGATTTTTAATGAAGTAACTATTTCTATCCCATCAGAGACCCTTTATTTTCTTAGAGGAAGAAAGGCTTTATGCTTTGCAAAGCTTTTACAAAAACTTCTTAGCTTGTGTTGAGTTTGAGTTGTTGCTTTTTCTTCCGCATTTGTGCATGTTCATAACATACATCCCAATTAATTTTACTATATTCACCAACAGGCCTGTAACGTGTATTCCTTCACTTCCTTATGCTATATCTAGAAGGTACCATATACTGTATCAAGAAAACTTAAAAATATTGTCCTATTTATATGGATAGAAGTTTTGCATTTTCAGGATACAGATATTTATGACAGTTGCCTGTTCCAGGGCACACATAACACTCACAGTCAGACATATCTATAGATCCTTGAGCACAATTCAGTCCCTCTACCATGAGCTCTAGAGTATGATGAGGGCAATTCTCCACACAAATGAGCTGGCCTCAGAAGTTTGTCCAAAACTTTATTCAACTCATCTATCTCTAGAAAAATTACATGACTCAAGGTGAGAAAATACAGATTTTATTAACTTGCATTCTCTGAAAGTCTGCATGGCTCACACCTTCCCCATGGTAGGCCTCCTTGTCATTGCATATAGTGAAGTATCTATTTTCCATGATAGAAATTTTATTTTCTTGAGGCTATACACTGTGAGATTTCATTTTGACAGTGACTGGTTAAAAGACAAAAAATCTCCTCAAGCACTGTAATCTTATCTTTCAGTGTTTAAGCACAACAAAAATTACAGAGCTTACATTCACATTCCTATTTTGTGGTTAAAAAAAAAAGCAATTTTGTATAAAACTATAGGGGATAACCAGGGTCCTGAAGCCCTACACACTCTTGGCCGCAGGTGATCTGAATTGGAAGGTGAATGTAACATTTGACAGGGATCTTTGAGCATAAAAAAAAGAAATAGAAGAAGAACTAAAGTCTCTGAAAATAATAATAAATTATTAGACTTTTTATAAATGGTGCAGCCAATCAGATTGAGAAGTGTAGAAATAATATGAACCATTACTGAATCTTTAAATAATATAAGTTGCAAAGAACTGTTACTACTCACCAAAGAGCTCGAGAATTTTTTTCTTGCCTTATAAATTAATTTCTAGGTAGAGATGATAAGAGAAGAAACTAATTTTATCCTAGGTAAAATTTTCACATAGTGAAATCTGGCTAGTTAAAAAAGAAAAAGAAGATATTGTACCTAACACACTTTAAACAACAAAATGAACAAAACAAAACAAAAACTTTGAAATATCCATCTATTAAACATCTACTTATCTATTTTTCTACCCAATGCCCATGTCAAAGTATCATTTCTCAAGGGCACAGATGCTGAAAAGCAACATTTTGTCGTGGAAAAAAAAACCCATAATTTTTCTTCCTTATTGCTATGGATTTCATTTTCATATGGTATCTAATAAAATATTATTTAGGAATATATGCTATTTTGACATACAGTGGAACCAGATTAAATTTTTAATGTGCATTTATTTTAGTAGAATGCTTTTTTTTTCTAAAACAGTGGATATTTGTAAGATAATGCTACTGAACTCATAGCAAAATAGTTGTAGAATCCTAAGGTAATAGTCTTATTTCTTGTTTGTGTTTGGAAGGTTGTTTTTTCTTTCTGCATCTTTTTTCATGTATGGCTCCACACAGGAGTCCCTCCAGGCAGTGCTTCCCTACCAGCCAGTCCTTCATAGGTTATCTTCATGAGTGCCCAGCAGTCTGCAGGCTACCGCTCTCCCAGAGCTGTTGAAGTAATCATTTTATCCGCAGGACACACTGGGTATCAGTAGTGTTCTTAAGAAAACATGTTCCTCTTGAAACAACTACCAAGTTCCCAAATGCATCAGCAGAATTTTAAAATAGCAGTCTTCCTGAATTCCTAGGTAAGGCAACCAGGCTGCTTGCTACTGCTGACAAGATCAGGTGGTTACCGGGAATCTCTTAATTCACCTTCATGGACTTCAGGGGCACATTTTCTGCCTTGTTCTTACCAGCTTCTTATTTCCTGGGGACCAATATGTATATGCACTTCTTATTTCCTGGGGACGAAGCAGGTATGAGGAATGCTATTGGCCCTACTTGTACCCATAGAGGGAAGATTAATGACTTCCCTCTATGGGTACAAGTAGGGCCAATAGCATTCCTCATACATGTTCTCATATTTCATTTTGCCTACCTCTTTTTTTTTTTGACCCTTCTACCTGACTATCCTGACCTTCCTTGGTGTGTTCCCATCAAAATGTCCCTAGCCTATGTTTGCCCAATGAAACTGTGCACACATTTAACCTTGGACTTTCCGTAATGTGTTAACATTGTTTTGTAAATACCCCAAGACTCACTTGGGGCATTATGACTCACTAACTTTTGTCTTGAAGGAGGACGGATTGAACATGCTTACTGTAGAAAAGGTGACAAGTCTTACTAAAAAGAGAAAATAAAAACCAAGTCATGGATGTACTAGAAAATCTGTTGTTTATAGAAGACAAGCAGTTCAGTAGGGAACTTTTGAACTCATTCACTGAAAAGAGTGAAAACTGAGTGGAGAAAAATAATGTAAAAGAATTTTGAGGGGCTAGATTCTTCAAATTTGACATTTCAGAAAATCATAGAGAAAACACTTTCCTAAAAGAGTCAAACAAAAAATAATCACTCAGGAAACTATTTCATCGATCTTGGCAAAGTATAGTGATTAAAATGCTTCATAATTGTTGAAGACAAAAGCAAGTGAGTAAAACGAAAGCAGGATGAGCAAAGGTCTGAGACCTAAATGAATATAAGAATCAGAAGTCACAAGTTTAGAAGCCAAGATTATCTGAAAAGTACTGCGCACCCTAGTCAATACAACACAACACAGAAATAACAATAATGATGAAGTTATAGCTACTAGGGAAGTAATTCATATAAATGTTATAAGATTATGATCCACTAAATATTAAGTGACAATTGTGAAATGAATGTACTCATTGAAGTAGTTAGAGGATTTAATGAAAGTGCCTGAATGTCAATAATAGATATGAAGTTAATCTAATACTTTAGAACATTTTTCAATTTATACCAGGAATAACACAAATATTTAAAATATGTAAATGTAACTTCATATTCATATGTAAATACTGATTTAGAAAAAATAATAAATAGAAATGCCAAATATTATAATGGATATTAAATTATGCATTTATATAATTTATATATAAATGAAATAAAGTCATATTTAATCTGGCATAAATTAAGACTAGCCGGGGGATTTAAAAATGCGAGTAAAATTTTGAACATAGATATTAAAAATAAAATGAAATGAAAAAATTAAAATATATTGCCCTGATATATTTGACACATTTTATCATAATTTCTTGTATGATAAAATTAGTAGCATACATTTGTGAAAATATTAAATAAATTAATTTCTGATATTGGCTTAAATTATGAGTTATTTGAATGAAAGCTAATGTAAAAAAATTTTCACACAGCATACCCCATATTGTCTTTGAGGTGAATCAAGAAATAAAATATCTAAAATAAGAACATATGTATTGGCAGGGTGCTGTGGCTCATGCCTATAATCCCAAGACTTTGGGAGGCCAAGGTAGACAGATGACTTGAGTCCAGGAGTTTGAGACCAGTCTGGACAACATAGCAGGATGCCATTTCTACAAAAAAAAAAAAAAAAAAAAAAAAAAATTAAAAATTAACTGAGCATGGTGGCATGTGCTTGTTGTTCCAGCTACTTGAGAGACTGAGGTGGGAGGATTGCTTGAGCCTAGGAGGTTGAGCTTGCAATGAGCTCTGATCATGCCACTGCACTTCAGCCTGGGTGAAAATGCAGGACTGAGTCTCAAAGGAAAAGTGTTCACATATATATATGTATACACACACACATATGTATATTAATTTATAGTACATACACACAAACATATATGTGTGTATGTACTATAAATTAATATTTTATTATGTATCTAATCCTTATGTTTTGACTTTTTGTTTTTGAAACATCTTTTTGCCTAGAGAATTAAAACTAATAAGCCAATAATTTTTTAAGTTTTGCAACTAGCATGAAAGGAAGTCAATAATAATATTAACACAAATATCTCATATATTAAGAACAAAGTATTAACAACCAAAAACAGATATAAAAAATCCATAAAATTTGCCACATTTTATTGACAAATGTCTAATAATGTACACATTGAATTCAAGAGCATAGGTGAAAAGTATATTGCACTCAAGTGCATAGGCAACAATTATATTGTGCTGTCACCTATGCACTTGAATTGAGAGTGTACATTATTAGAAAGTGTTCAGAAAAAAAATTCGTCACAAATACATTTGTCAAATGTTTACCTTAATTTTTAATAATTACATTTCATTCAGAAACTATTCTAAAATATACACCTGAAAATAAGCAGTAGATGTATATATTGTGAATTTCATTTAAAAGTGGACAACAGTAAAAACATTCCTTAAAAACTTAAAAAGAGAACTACCCCTTGATTCAACAATTCCGCTATTGCATATACAGCCAAAGAAAATGAAATGAGTGTGTTGAAGAGATAACTGCACTCCCATATTTATTGTTGTCAACCTAAGTATCCAGCAAGGACACATAAGTTGATTTTTTTAATGTAGTACATGGATGCAGTACTCTTCATCGCTAAAAAACGAATAAAACTCTGTCACTTGTGATGACAACATGGGTGAACCTAAACGGCATTATGCTAAGTAAAATAATTCAAGCATGAAAGAACAAATACCATATAATCTTACTTATTTGTGAAATCTAAAAAAAAAATGATCTCATAAAAGTAGAGAGGCTGTGGGGAAGCAGAGAGGAAGGGGGATGAAGGGATGTTAGTACAACTAACTGTACAAAGTTACAGTTAGAAAGGACGAATAAGTCCTGGTGCTCTATTGCACACTAGGGTAACTACAGTTAGTAATGTGTTGTATGTTTCAAAATTGCTAAAAGAGAGGATTTTGAATGTTCCCACCACAAATAAATAACAAGTGTTTCAGGTGATATACTAATGATCATGATTTGATTTACACAATGTATACATTGTGTATTGAATACAATACATGTATTCAATACATGTATTGAAATATCACACTGCAACTCATATATACATGTGCATTTCTATATACATGTGCGCATATATATTTGTCTATATAACTGATATGTATATATAATAATTTTATATATGTATGTGTATGTATATGTAAAATTATTTGTCACTTAAAAACAAAATAAAACTTTAAAAAACACAGCTAATCTCACATAAAAGTAGTATTGGAAACCACCAATTTTTTACTAAGTATTGAAAACCACTAATCACCAATATATGTGATTATGAATCTGTAAAAGAATGATTATAGATTATAGACATGTTAACTAGTGACCAAAGAAAGAATAACAATTGTGTACATATTATAAGAATGATTGCATTTAATTTAGAAGGATAAAAATGTAAGTCATATGCATTTGGAGAATGTACTAAATACAAATTCTTATCTATTTAATTAGAACAAAGTTACATCTTGAAGTTGAAAATTCCATCCAATAAGTAGATAAAATTCATTAAAATAAATAGCACTATTGTTACTATTTTGAATATCATTAGCCTTCTTGAATTCAAATGTTTCACATAAAATATTACTGAAAAATTCTTCAAACTTGACTGAAAAAGTATATCTCATAAATAACTCTGGAAAATAATTTTATGAAATATAAAAGGTATCAGACTCCCCTACTAGCACAGAGCGGTTTTTAATACCTTTTAAAAATTATCATAACCTTGATTTTAGTATAAACTAATTTGGAAAATTTTCCCTTTGTTGGTCATTAAATGTTTTTATGTAACTGATACATCATGGCATTTAGTGATATACTTGACCAAATTAAAGTTGTAAAATGTGTTTAAATAATATCCAAGGAGTTGTTTTAGACAGTAACAGTGTGACTCGAGTTAATGTTTTCCCTATAATACTATTTTTTACTTGTCTATTTAGTCTGTAAAAAATAAGGTCCTTCCTTTTTCCTTTTCTTGTATCCTCTTATTCAAGAAATGCTGGGTTAATAACAGTGAGGAGTAATACAGATAATCCAGAATTTCTGTAGAAGGAGGGATTGGAGGAGATAATTGGAATAGAATCAAGGCTATTTTTCTATGAGGCTGTCATGAAGCTTACTCACATAGCATGTTGTATTAGTCCGTTCTCATGCTGCTATGAAAAAATACCCAAGACAGAGAAATGTATAAAGGAAGACGTTTAATTGACTCACAGTTACACAGTGCTGCGGAAGCCTCAGGAAACTTACCATCATGCCTTAAAAGGAAGGAAACACATTCTTCTTTACATGGCAGCAGGAAGGAGAAAGGATGGGCTGCTGCAAAGATCTCTGAAATGCACTGGAGACATTTTTCCCATTGTCTTGGTGATTAACATTTGGCTCTTCCTTGAATTTCTCCTCAGAAAATTTTTTTTCTATCACATCATCAGGCTGCATATTTTGCAGACTTACATTCTGCTTCCCTTTTAAACATAAGTACCAATTTGAAACCATATCTTTGTGAATACATAAAACCGAATGCTTTTAACATCACCCAAGTCACCTCTTGAATGCTTTGCTGCTTAGAAATTTCTTCTGCCAGATGCCCTAAATCTCTTTCAAGTTCAAATTTCCACAGATCTCTAGGGCGGAGGAAAAATGCCACCAGTCTCTTTGCTAAAGCATAGCAAGAATCACCTTTATTTCAGTTCCCAACAAGTTCTTCATCTCCATTTCAGACCACCTCAGCCTGGACTTCATTTTCCATATTATCAGCAATTTGTTGAAAGCTATTCAACATGACTCTAGGAAGTTCCAAACTTTCCAACATTTTCCTATCTTTCTTCAGCCCTCCAAGTTTTTCCAAGCTCTGCCTGTTACCCAGTTCCAAAGTTGCTTCCCCATTTTCAGGTATTTTTAGAGCAGTGCCCCACTTTCTGCAGTACCAATTTACTGTGTTAGTCTGTTCTCATACTGCTATGAAGAAATATACAAGACTGGGTAATTTACAAAGTAAAGAAGTTTAATTTACATACAGTTCTGCAGTGCTGGGGAGGCCTCAGGAAACTTACAATCATGGTGGAAAAGGAAGCAAACATGTTCTTCTTCACATGGTGGCAGGAAGGAGAAGTGTAGAGCAAAGGGGTAAGGGTCTCTTTTAAAGTAATCAGATCTCATGAGAACTCACTCATTATCATTAGAACAGCATAAGTGAACCACCTCCATAATCAAATCACCTTTCATGGAGTCCCTCCCACAATATGTGGGGATTATGGGAATTACAATTCAAAATCAGATTTGGGTGGGGATACAGCCAAACCATATCACATGTATAGCCTCACCAGTGTGTGTGTGTGTGTGTGTGCACTTAACTTACATAGCATGTTACCTCTTTGTATCATCCCCCTTAAATGTACATTTCTCAAAATCATTGTCTTTTTTTTTAATGGAGTCTCACTCTGTCACCCACGCTGGAGTGCAGTGGTGCGATCTCAGCTCACTGCAGCCTCCACCTCCTGGGATAAAGTGATTCTCCTGCCTCAGCCTCCCAAGTATGCGGGATTACAGATGTGTGCCACCATGTCCTGCTAATTTTTGCATTTTTAGTAGAGATGGAGGGTTTCACTATGTTGGCCAGGCTGGTCTTGAAATCCTGACCTCAGGTGATATCCTCACTTTGGCCTCCCAAAAAAAAAGCATTAAATCTTTAGTAACTTATGGCTAGGGAGATAATTTTATTTTTAACATTCACTGTGTTTCTTGTATGCCATGAATTTTTCTCAGCACAATCTTTTATCCAACAAATATTTATTGAGTGCCTACTAAATGTCATAATCTATGCTAGACCTTAGAAAAATCTCTAGCTCCTTGGAACTTTGCTATGTCTTATGGAAATATTGAAACCTTACAGATTTGAGCCAGAATTTAACTATAAATAATATTAAAGATTATCTACTTCTTGAAAATAAGCTTAATAGGGAAGCTGAGAAGACATTTACTTAACTAATATACTTTAAAATAAAATATTAAATCTGTCTCATTTATTTTTTTCTTACATTCATACATACAAAAATGTTGATCAAGATAGTAGATCTTTGAAATACAACAATATGTCAGATTTCTCATTCAAAGTTGACAATTTAATGTCTTAGAAACACTATTATATAATATGATGCTAAGATTAATGACTAATTGCTCATAAAGTAGGGAATAAGTACATCTGAAAAGTTATATAAAACCTCACAGGGGAGCCACTGAGTTTATAGCACACAGGAATTTTGGAGTTTTCTCAGTTATGGAGTCTAACAACTAAGTTTTAAATCATAGCAAAAGTGCAGAAAACATCTCATTTTTCCTCTCACCTAAATGTTGAAGAAATGACTTCTAAGGGAAAATAGCTTACTAGGAAGATGTTGTACTTTCATCATCATATCTTCATTGCATTAGTGTGAGACTAAGAGGTAAGAGTTTATGTTTGTGAACCATGGGCCAAATCAATGATGGAATGAACTAGACTTGAGCAACAGTGCTTCACTCCCCTCGTAATAATTATGATAATGCAGAGACACTTAGGAATTGAACACTAATTCACTTAGTGTTGTTTTGTACTTATCACCAGATTTCCAGAAAGCATTGGTAGATACCAGGAGTTTATGAGATAAGCAAAGTGAATAGGCAAAATTGTGCTCTTCATAGTCTGGTAACATCACTATGTACAAACAGTTGCAGGAGCAACTATCCAAGCCAGCAAAGGATTTGAGAAAGCTAAAATGCTCTTCTTCCAGTTATAAGTATATTTTATTGTCTTATGAATTGTGTAGCTGCATTATTTTATCCTTAACTTATATGTTTATTTTTTGAAATTATATTCATCACTTCAAATAGTATGTATAATAACAAACGTGTCATATTGAGAGAGGAGACAGAGGATGGCTAGGAAGATAGAAGGGGAGGGTCTTGGGGGAGAAAAAACACCTGTGGGAGCACACTTGTACTGACCCTGTAGCTAGCGAGAAGAAATGTGGTTAAGATCTTCCTCTTATGCCAGGATGTTTGCTCAGAAAGTACTATCCCAACTTAGGTGTAGGCACAATAAATCAACTAAATGTCCTTACCTTGACCCAGAGCTAGCTGTAATATCATTAGCATTGCAGTTTTAGTCCCCCATAAGTTTTACTTAGGCACTCATGGATAATAACCAAGATGGAGTAGCTATGGCCAACCCTAGGCATGCACAGATACAACACCTCCAGGGGGCAAATTTACCTGTCTTATTTGGGTGGAACCCACAGAAGACTTCCTTGCCTCTGCCACATAAAAGACCCAGAACTTAGCCCCGTTTTTGGCAACCAATTATCGGGTCCCTTCTTGCTATTGAGAGGTTTCTGTCACTTAATAAATCCTACTCTGCCTTACTCACTCTCCAGTGTCCACATGTGTTATTCTTCTTGGTCGTGGGACAAGAAACTGGACCTAGCTGAACTAAGGAATAAGAAAACTGTAACATTATTTCTCAAGTATATTGAGTCTATAAGATTCAAAATATCATCTCCCACCAGTCAGATGGTGATTATTAAAAAGTCAAGAAGCAACAGATGCTGGGAATGCTGTGGAGAAAAAGAAATGCTTTTACACTGTTGGTGGGAATGTAAATTAGTTCAGCCATTGTGGAAGACAGTGTGGCAATTCCTCAAGGATCTAGAACCAGAAACACCATTTGACCCAGCAGTCCCATTACTGGGTATATACTCAAAGGAATATAATTCATTCCGTTATAAAGATACATGCACATGTATATTTACTGCAACATTATTCACAATAGCATAGATATGGAACCAACCCAAATGTCCATCAATGATAGACTGGATAAAGAAAATGTGGTATATATACACTATAGAATACCATGCAGCCATAAAAAGAAATGAGATCATGTCCTTTGCAGGGACATGGATGAAGCTAGAGGCCATAATCCTCAGCAAACTAACACAGGAACATGAAACCAAATACCGCATGTTCTCACTCATAAGTGGGAGATGAACAATGAGAACACATGGAAACAGGGTGGGGAACAACACACACTGAGGCCTGTTGTGAAGGGTGGGGGAAGGGAGAGCATCAGCACAATACCTAATGCAGGCAGGGCTTAATACCTAGGTGACTGGTTTATAGGTGCAGCAAACCCCCATGGCACATGTTTACCTGTGTAACAAACCTGCACATCCTGCACATGTACCCAGGAACTTATAAAATAAAATTAAAAATGAAAACAAAACACAAAGCAATTAAACATTTTCTACGAAAAAGTATTATCTGTTACTTATTTAAGGAAATATATTCAAGATTCTGGACTGCATGACTAGTAGTTTTCTGTATTACCTCTCTTACAGGTAGGTGTTGGTGTGATGTGACTTCATGCCTCAAAGATTGAGATTCTGAAAATTTTAAGAATGCATTTCATATAAATGAATTACATGTTTATACTTAAATGTTCTTATATTAATGTGTATTTTTATATGTATCACTAATGTGGTAGAAATGCTAACACACTACATGTGAGAATGAAATTATGTTAATTCTACTCAGTAACTCTGGGTCAATCATTATTCCAGTTAACATGTTTTTCAATATTTGACAAATACTGTCAACTTTTTTTCACAATGCAACAAAAAGTATTAACATGTGGTAGGGGGCGGTGGCTCACGCCTGTAATCCCAGCACTTTGGGAGGCCGAGGTGGGCGGATCACGAGGTCAGAAGATCGAGACCATCCTGGCTAATATGGTGAAACCCCGTCTCTATTAAAAAATACAAAAAATTAGCCAGGCGTGGTGGCGGGCGCCTGTAGTCCCAGCTACTGGGGAGGCTGAGGCAGGAGAATGGCGTGAACCCAGGAGGTGGAGCTTGCAGTGAGCCAAGATTGTGCCACTGCACTCCAGCGTGGGCAACAGAGCGAGACTCCATCTCAAAAAATAAATAAATAAATAAAAATATTAACTTGTAGTGGTGTGCTCAATTACTTTTCTCTAAGTTAATCATCTTTCAAAACTAATATCCTACTAAATATTTATCAAGCTGCTTTCATGCAGTAACTAATCAGACTATAACATAACTCTAAATCTGACCTTTAACAATCTGAGTATACTATATGATTTTCTCCCACTCTAAACAGATGCTGAATATTATTTTGAATTATTTAAAATTATTTTCTTGAAATTTATATATATATATATAAAATAACATGCACAAAAAGGCTTTACATTTTCTCATCTTAATATTCTTTGGCATATTTCTAATGTAGCTTCACTCAAATTCAATCACGGCTAAACAAGCTAGAAAGCTTATTTATGTTTCTCATGTGAAATACACTAAATTTTTAGTCCATGTTTATGCTAAAGATTTTTGAGTTTTAGAGATTTAGATTATTTTTATGTAAACTCAAGAGTTTATTTATGGGTTTCATATGAATGAAATTAATGTTTCATTTGAAATTAATCCCTAGGCATTTCTAAACTTAGTTATCTCATACTTTCATGTAACTTTCATTAAAATTTTAATTAGCAATCAGTAAAATTTAGTTTGATATGATATTTCTCACATACAAGTATATGGTCTACTACTATGTTTTTGAAGAGACATTTTCAGAAAATGGTAGCAAAATCATATGTCGCTGTTTTCCAGTAATAGTTTGAAATCTGAATGCTCCATCCTTGGTATCATTTGCTGAAACTCATGTAACATTTAGTGATTATAATTCACTCTACACAAAACAACAGAAAAACAGTTCTTAGAAGTTCTCTCAAAAGTAAATTGCTAAGATTTATCGTCCCTATCTTAGCCTTTTGTTTTGCATTAAAAAACTTATATTACATAAGGAAGTAAGGTGTTAGAATAACAAGTTGTTCTTCTAAACCGTGTGATATATGATCCTCCAGACAGCTAATTTATGTAAATATATTACAACATACTTCTCCTTCCTGGTCAATAAATACTTGGAACTTCTGTGGTTAATATCAGTATATATTTCATGAGTCCCTAGTAGCCTGGCATCCAAAGTTAGTGACTAGATATTCTGGAGATTCACTGCATACACCTGTCCTATTTTTACAGAATACTTTTTTATCACTAAATCCCAGTACATTTTGTCCAAGTTTTGAGAGTTACAACAGCAGCATAGATGTCTTGCCACTGCAACAATGTAACCATGTATTATTATTCCCCTGCAAGATTGGCCTGTTACTCAGTCACAACAGAAGTTGAGACTGGCCTTGGAACTGCAAAAATGCTTGCATCTTTAAGCTTAAGAACTAGTTCCAGATACCAGAGGGAAGGTATAGCTCTGCAGACTTGGCAGGAAATACCCCAAGCCATTTCAGACTCTTATTCTCAGATACTCTCTGGTGCCCAAGGTAAGGATATAATGAAACTAATGGGCTTTTATCTAGAAACTATGGGTCCAAATACAGCAGGAGACACCCTTGAACAAGCACAGTGCTAGTAAGGAGATGTGAAACGGGAGAGTAAAATCATATCCAATTTCAGCCAAGGGCATATTTTAGATTGGTATCTACTGGAGACAGGGCTGAGTGAGGAACAGCACATTCTCATATGACTTGGAAAAGACTTCATAGATTCTTCTATGGAAATGGTAACAAGTAGATATAAAAACAGATTTTAGGAATGTTTAATTAATTAGGGACAATCAACTTCAGCTAATTTATTTATCCCTTTAATAGGTATCCAGTAACACAATGAAACTGACATGAAAGTGGCAAATTCTAGCAAAATTGAGCCATTTTTTTCTTGTAAAAAGTTTCCAAGAGAGATACCCAAAGGATCAGAATAGAACTCAGTTGTAGATGTGAATTAAGCACTCATTAGAGAACCACAGTTGACCATTGATGAGACCAACCCATCAGAGTTTTGACCAGGAAGACATGTGACCAGGAAGAAATGTGGGTCCATACAGATCATCAAACACTATATTTTTTCACAGCAAGGGTTGTTTCAAGACAAACCATTTAATACTGATGTATTTATGTCCCAGTGAGGATTACCACAGGACTTGGAGCCACAAGCTGCAGTCATTACTGGGCAGTTATGGTGATGTTGGAAAACTGGTGTGAGATTAATGGGGCGGAGCCTGACAGAAATGCTGAGTAACTCCATTCATAATGCACTGAAAAATGAACTTTATTGATTTTATAGAAGATCACCATACCAACCTTAATATAATGCACAATAAATCTGACAAATTTGTTATAACTTTACTGATAAATGAAGGAGGCATATTTTAAGAACCAGTCATACCTATTACTACATACATGCCACATTTCTGTAGGTGATTCCTGCTCTTTCCTTGTAAATGACCACACTTTCTTTGCCTGAGATTGTTTGTGTCTCATTTCATTTGAAGGTTGTAATGAGATATTACATAATTTTCTTAAATACCTTGGAAAAATCTTACAAATTTTGTGTTAAATTTTACATAATTTCAAGGACACAAGAAATCTGGAAGCACGAGAAAGCAGGAGAGTTCTGTGACATCGTTTGTGAACCCCCAGGATCAAGCTCTATAAATCTGACGTGATCTCTGACCAGAGGATAAAATGAGACCTCTAAGTAAGATTGACTTACCACATCATACAGTGGGGAGAGTTTAGGTAATTTAAACATCCTCATTTTATATCCAGTCCATGTAAGGGCTTACATGATATTTTCAGGAAGCGGTGGCTAATAAATCTGTAGATAGTAGGTTTATTTACCATAAACAAAGCTAAACTCAGGAGCATCTTTCCAAGATATAATATATATACTTTATAAAAGACATAAATATAGATTTACCTCCTAACAATATCAAATAATACTTATAAGGAGGCCAACTGTTAGCATCTTTGCACACACACACACAAAAAAAAAATTAGACCTGGTCTCCTGCCTTGTTTCTTTTAAAATGTGCTCCTACTATTTAGGGAAGAAATGGATCACTGAAAAACTAACACTTTTCTTTCCAGTCTACTTTTTGAATTTGATCACTATATTCTTAGAGCATATTTCTCAGATATCTGTTCTTTATTTTTCTTACAATATTTTCTGCAATATTCCAAAGAAAGAACAAAACAAAATCTCAAAGGTCACCAGGATTTGGGCTATTCAATGGAGAATATGAAGTCATTTGTATGTTAATCAACATTCTGTACTTTCAGATATTTTTGAGAACTCTTTGACTGTCTAACCATCTCAGTTGCTCTTTTTCTTCATCAATTATTTTAATAGGCTATATGTGTGGATGTATATATATATATGTCTATGAATATATATTAGAGTTTGTAATGTATGCAAAGTTAGAGACATTTTATCTTCTGTCCATTGTTTTCTATAGGTATTACCTCAAGCCTGCCTCCATCAAAGCTTCTAAAATATTTTCTTATCTTGGGAATAAATATTATGTAATATTCATTTTCACTTAATTCTGTCTGTGAGGTTGCAACCCTTTGCTACATTACTTAGCTATGTCTGAGAGATTAAATTTATGTTTGGCACACCATAAATCAATTACAATTGTAGTACCAGTTTTCATTCTCTTCCGACAGAAATAAACTTTCCCCATGTACTACATATTCCAAATGACAATGGCTAACTAGAAGCCATTGTTCAGCTATTTACATATTCTGCCTGGTTTGTGAACATAGCAATACTTCAGATACATACAACAGGTTTTTACATTCAGAAGCTTCTAGGTGTCATTAGGTGACACTTCCTATCACCCCCACCCCATTAGGGATCACCAGGTTTGGCTTATTTGTGTTTCCAAACTCAACTGATTGCACAACAAGAACTTTAAATTCTCTGTTATCTCTAGAAACTAGATCACTAAAGAACAAAAATAAAAGGTAGAATTTCTAATAAAATCCTAATTATTTATCCTAATTTTTCCACAAACTTATTTGTATGGCCTCATTCTCTACTATATGCAACCTCTGATTTTTAATGATAGGCAATTCTAATCTGATTTGAATGTTCAATAGTTGTTGTTGAATGAATATATACCATACGTCTACTCTCTGCATTGCTCAACAGTGTGCCACTATGTTTAACTCAGTATTCAGTTAGTCATGCAATTATGCTTAATTATCCTTTTTTTTTTTTTTTTTTCTTTGAGACAGAGTATTACTCTGTCACCCAGGCTGGAGTGCAGGGGCACAATCTTGCTCACTACAGGCTATGCCTCCTGGGATCAGATGATTCTCCTGCCTCAGCCTCCTCAGTAGCTGAGACTACAGGCATGCACCACCACACCCAGCTAATATTTGTATTTTTAGTAAAGATGGGGTTTCCCCATGTTGGCCAGGATGGTCTCATACTCCTGACCTCAGGTGATCCACCCACCTCGGCCTCCAAGAGTTCTGAGATTACAGGCGTGAGCCACCACACCCAGCCCAATTATACTTTTTTTTTCTCTCTCTATTTCCAGAAATAGTCTGTATTCTGTTGGGGAATGTTTTAATTTTTTTTCATTTTTGCTTATTTTATGTACCTTTTTGGGTTAGCAAGTCTTTTTTATCATGAGAGTAAGCCTCCAAGCACATTGTTTTGGTCTGACTCAGAACTTTCAGACCAGTTTCTAACATCCTCCAGAAAAAAAAAGAAAAAAAGAAAAACAAAAGGCAATTTGGGACCAGTGCAAAACAAGTCACCATATTTGTAATTTCCATTGAATGTTAACAAAAATCATGCCATTAGGAAAACGGACTGTATTCAGAAACAGTATGTGTCCCATGAGACTGACAGTTTCAGATATTCCACTCCCAAATACCCCTTTGTCTTATTATGCCAGGTAGTTTACATTAATGTCCTTTGTGTCTTTCTAGAAGTCCCTTATATGCAATATTCAGGCCACCAAGTTTCACCTAAATCCACTCAAGGATGTCTGAGTTAAATGTATATTTCCTTAAATGAATCCCATTGACATTCACATTTCACAAAAGAAGTGTGTATACGGCTGTGATATAACTAAACTTGATACTCATAACTTGTTTTATACTGCACACAGGACACTGTCTTAGCAATGTACTGTCTTAGTTTATGTCCACACAGAGTGTAGAAGTTTGTGATTAAACCTTCTTATGCTGTAATCTATTGGTTGATAATAATTTTCTCAGGGCATGTGAAAATTTAAGCAGAATGGAAAACACAGCCTATACACTGCCAATCAAATGGTAGTTGTCACTTGTTACCTAAATTAAGACATGTAATTATTCTTTAGGTTGTTGTCACCAGAGAATCCATATGGAGTCTTCAGATACAGAGAACATGTAGATCAGTGGATAATCTGCTTCCTTCACAGACAAGTCAACATGTCTTTCAATATTAGTCATTATCAGCAATAGATCTGAGATAGTTTACCTTAGAGTTTCACTCTCTTGTTCCAAATCATTCCTGTGAAAATAATTAGACCCCATTTTGAAACTCAAATTCACTTATAACCTGCTTTGCTGTCTCTGCTATGGTCTCTCTTATTTGCATTTGTCACTAGTTTTAATAACCCCCAGTTTTTTCCACATAATCAGCCTTTCCAAGCCTACATAATTAGTATTTGTCCACATTTTGACAAGTGAAAGATCACAGGACTGTCTCTGCCACTTGGTAAGGAAGCCACATTCACAGTCTTAATTTGGTTAACATTATGAAATCATGTACTACTTGAGACCTCTTGTGAGTGCAAGCATCAGTAACCATGTAACCAAATTCTTAAGGTTAGTAGATGGACATTATATGGTTAGTAGATGGACGTTAAAATTGGAGATAATGTCCTCCCATGGAGCAAGAGGTAGGTTTTTTTTCTTCTACAGTATAATAAAGAAAATATTTCTTGTGGGGAAAAAGTTAGGTTTATTTTTCACTCATGTAAAAAGTTTGGAGTTTCCTAAGCTCAGGATTTTTCTTTAACTCAACCCACTGTGTGTGCATTTGTCATCTTTCCCTCTGTATGTCGCCTTATACAAATTACAGTTTGAACAACTGGCCCAAGACAATGCTGATATTCTGGCTACTGCTTATAACATGAGAAATAAACTGTACTATACCCTAGACTCAGGAATCTCATCTCTTATGCCTGCATCCATATAACTGTAGCAGGCTAATTTGTTAGCTGCAGGATAAAGCAACATAGTAGAGTAAAAATGCAATAGACAACTAGGACCACTTTTACTTTCTTTTCTTTCTTTCTTTCTTTCTTTCTTTCTTTCTTTTTTTTTTTTTTTGTAGACGATGTCTCACTTTGTTACCCCAGGCTGGAGTGCAGTGGCATGATCACGGCTCACTGCAACCTCAGACTCCTTGGGCTCAAGCAATCCTCTCACCTCAGCCTCTCGAATAGCTGGGACTACAAGCAGGCACTACCATGCCTGGCTAGATTTTTATTTCACTTTATTTTATATTTTATTTGTATTATTTTATTTTGTTTTGTTTTATTTTATTATTTTAGACCACAGATATGGTCTTGCTAATGTTTCCCCTGCTGGTCTTCAATTCCTGGCCTCAAGCCCCCCCCACTGCCTCTATCTCCCAAGCAGCTGGAATTACAGAAACCAGCCACTGCATCTAGCCACATCTACTACCTTTAACAGTTCTCGACAGATATCCAGAACTGTTAGGCAAATTTAAAACCAAACTAATATAGGTAAAATAAAACTTCTGTAAGGTGGGAAAAAATACAATTGCCTAATGTGTCCTTTGCAAACTCTCATTCCCATCCTTTGGTCCAATGGAGTCTCTAACTTCCTTTCATGTTCAATTTTAGAATACATTTATTTAATCGATTAACTTAAAACTTACAATTCATTTTTCCTATCTATATATATATACACACACACACACACACATATATATGTATATCTATATATATATAGTTATGGTCTGAAAGACTGCATTCCTCCCAATATTCATACATTGAAATCTAATTCCCAATGCGAAGGTATTAAAAGATGGGGCTTTGGGGAGGTGACTAGGTAATGAAGGCAGAGCCGTTATAAGGGAAATTAGCATCTGTATAAAAGAGGCTGGAGGGAGCTTGTTGGAGCTTGTTGGTCATTTTCTCCCTGTGAGGATGCAGTAAGGAAGTGCTATCTGTGAACCAGAGTGAGTTCTTACCAGATGCCCAGTCTACTGGTCCCTTGACTGTGGACATCTCAGTCTCTAGAACTGTAAGAAATAAATGTCTGGTGTTTATCAGCCACCAAGCTTGTATTATTTTGATACAGCAGCATGAATGGACTAAGATACTTTCCCATTTCTGTATATTGGTAGTAGTGCATCGTTTTTCTTGCCCAGAATAAATATCAGTTATGAACCCATTGTTCAAAATCTTTAATCATATTGTCTAAGGTAGACTTGGGTTTGAAATAAGGAAAACCTGGAGTAAAAGAGGGTTAATAGTGGTTACCACCCTTGAGACTGCTGGTAAATACCCAATATAATCCACTTGGGTATATGCCTTCTTCCATCAAGGTACTACCATTTGCAAGAGGTATTTTTGAATAACAGCAACAAATTATGAAAAGAGACAGTGACTGCCACTATCCTAAACTGTATTTTAAAGATATTTATATAGTAAGCAATGAGTGAAGATAGATAATTGCACACTCTGGAACAAAGGGCAGGCTTATTCACAGTATAGTAAGATACTTTTCCTCAAAAGCAAACATTAGCTGTGCTTGCTCTTTATTATAAATGATTCCACTTACATAAACTAGGGTTTTTACTGTGAAACAACCTGACATATGTATATGTGTCACTAATCTTCCTTGAATCATTCTATGGGAATTGGGGCTCAGGAATTGGGCACAAATATGAAAAACTGGGCACTGGTATTGTTATAAGTAATAATTTATGCTTTTTCTGTGACCCAGGAGTCACATGTTTTCTGCCAACAATCATGAAACTGTGGCAAACAACCTAGTTTCTAATTAGGGTAAAAGTGTTAGGGATTTTGCACTTATTGATGCAATTTTAACTCTTTCTTCACAACTCTGTTTTTAAATTTATTATTTTATTTTATTTATGTATATTTTTAGAGATGGGGGTCTTGCTATTGCCAAGTCTGCCTCAAACTCCTGGTAGCAAGTGATCTTTTTGCTTCAGCCTCCTGAGTAGCTGGGATTACACATGTGTTTCACTGCACCCAATTTCTCATCTATTTTAAATTTTTTTAATTTAATCATTGTAAATACATAATAGTTGTATGTATGAAGTACATGTGATATTTTTATACAAATTAACAATGTGTAATGATCCAATCATGGTAATTGGGGTATCCATCACCTCAAACGTTTATTATTTATCAGTGTTAGGAACATTTCAATTCAATGTAATTCTTCAAAATAACTTTTAGTTATTTTGAAATATACATTTTTAACTATAGTGCTACCATACATTAGACCATATTCCTCCCATCTAGCTGCTTTTTTGTACCTATTAACCAGCCTGTCTTTATCTTTTCCTCCCTGCTACCCTACCCAGCCTCTGATAACCATCATTCTACTCTCCATCTCTGTAGAGATATTTTTTTTAAATATCTCACATGTAATTCATTTTAAAAGCCCCTAGGTACTTATGAGAGATTTTCTTTGTCACATAGGAAGCAAGCACTTATGATGTTGTAGTACATTTTTAAAAACATATACCAAGGACATTATTTGGCATATTTAGCAAAGCAATGTCAGTTTACATTTATTGAACAACTAGCAAAAAAATCACTGCTAAAATTTAAGGATATAGAAAGTAATGAAGCATCACATATGCTCAAGGAGATGATAGAAATAAAATTTACAATATTCACAATATAAGAGTTCATATTAATAAACTGCTATGTATCAGAAATAAGTTATATATTATTATACACAAATTTTATATATAAGAAAATTGGTGTTATAAGGCAGATGATATATGCCCAAATAACAGAGTAACAGAGACTGGATTTGAACATTCCCCTTTCCAGAACATATCATACAACCACTATACTTTATATCTGAGGATATAGAAACATATGTAAAACAAAATTAACAAAATAAGATTGCACAAACTCAATCATCTGTTTCTTCTACATAAAATTATTATCATTTGTTAGGTTTCATACATATTTTTCTTTGAGGCATTTTAAAATAATACCTGTTTCAATAAATAGCTTAAATTCATGAAAACCATTCATTGTTAGAGGTCAAATACATATTAAATATCTTGAGGTGATATTCAGATAGGTTTTTGTCTTCTGTTTCTCATGTGTATTTTACTAAATAGATTGTTTTTACAAAATCTGAGGATAGAAATATATGTTTCATCCACTGGACAACCGAAATATAAAGCTATTATTAAAACAGAGCTTGTTGTGGTGAAATATATTTCGTATCTTATTTATGTGTGTTCATATGAATGGCTAGCAAGTCATTGAAAAGTAGGCCACCAATTACCCTTTTACATGCATGTTATGTTACATTTGGCTTTAACTTATATGTAAATGAATCAAAAACATTGAGAACTTATGTTTTGGACTAAGCGTGTTCTTTTTATGTGAATATTATAGAATAGAAAATAAATACATCTTGCTATGTATAAGAGTATTTTTGACAATAAACCTAAAAAATATTCTAATGTTAGAGTATATATTAGTCTGTTCTTACACTGCTCTAAAGGGCTGCCCAAGACTGTGTCATTTAGAAAGGAAAGAGGTTTAATTGACTCACAGTTCTGCATGGCTGCGGAGGCCTCAGGAAACTTACAATCATGGTTGAAGGGGAAGCAAACACATCCTTCTTCACATGATGGCACGAAGGAGAAGTGCTGAGCAAAAGGGAGAAAAGCCCCTTATAAAACAATCAGATCTCACGATAACTCAGTCACTATTATGAGAAAAGCAGCATGTGGGTAACTGCCTCCATGATTCAATTTCCTCCCACCAGGTACCCCTCCCACAAGCTGTGGGGATTATCGGAACTACAATTCAAGATGAGATTTGGGTGGGGACACAGAGAAACCATATCAGAGTATTATCAATAGACTAAATTGCATGCTTCCCAAACAAAATAATAAAAAAATTGCAAAATGTGTTAGTAATTCAAACATATAGATATTTTCATCATCAATAGGAGATACAATAGAGAAAATAGATAAAATGAATCACTAAGCAATTTGAAATTGGATAAATTCCTACAATAAAACCATCTTCAGAGTCATTGGTACACAGGCACATAAAAACAAAACCAGAAATAACATAATTTTTTGTCCACAAGAATCACAAAATAAATTGAGTGTATCTGCCTTTGGGTGATATTTGGGGAGTCAAGCATACACATTTTGTTCATTAAGTTTTAAGTTGACAAGATTTTACTCAGACCCTCAAGAGATCAGAATAACTGAACCAAGTACTACTTCGCTCCTATATCATTAACAAGGAGAGAGTTGCACAAGCACAGTAGCCATGAACAAAGAGTGTTAATTTATTTTCTGCCAAACTTATTCCCCACTTGGCCTGTCTTCAAAGGCGTTAGCTCTCTCTTTTCACTCTTTGTTTTTGTGAATATAACTATTCTATATTTTCTTTTCCCTCAACTTGCTGACTGGCATATATTGCAAACATGGTACAGTACTTATGTCTGAAAGATTAACTGACCTGCTTTCTGAGATTTTTTTTTTTTTACAAATTATTTGCCATCTGTAAATTAGTCTTTAGATAATTAATGTCAATGGTCATATTTTAATATATTCAATTACTGTCTTCATTTTTTACATATTTTCAGTATACATAAAGTATAAGATTTCCTCTCTTCATATGTCTCTGCTTTAAACATGATTCTTTAAACATTTCAGACTTAAAAGGCTGCTAAATGTAGTCAGATAGTAAAGTTCTAGTGAGGATTCTTGTATTTTATTTGTAATCTGCCCACTAAATCCATTGCTTTTCATTCACTATATATCTGTGATTCTTTATTTCAAAGACAACATGCCCTTTTTATATGGACCCATTTCACCAGTGTACACATAACTGTGTGGAATGTAAGAAAATAATCAGTACTTCCAATTCAGTCATAGAACAATTCACTGTTAATACTATAAAGATGTTAAGAATTTACTTATTCCCAGTCCACACAATGCATCATTCATAGAATCCAAACAAATACTTGAGTGAGAAAATGAATAAATAAATCAGAACATTCTTTACTAAATAAAATGTATCAGATTTATTTCATCACATTAATATTTAACAAAACAATGAGATCAATTCACCAAAACTTTTCTTTTTTTTTTTTTTTTTTTGCCTTCTGGAAGCTTTGTGAAGTTTAAGTTCAGTTCTGTTGGAAAGTTAAAGCAATGCAGAAAACATCTCTATTCAGATAGTATACAAACCCTGTGTTTGTTGAAGAGATTTTAATGTCAAGTAAGAAGCAATGATAAAAGGCTATATCAATGCAACAGGAAAAGATGACAGAGAATAGTAGCCAAGAAGAAGGCAAAAGAATTGAAGCAAAAACAAGATGCATGGTTTCAGGACATTATTAAAGTAAATAAAACCTTGCTTCAATTCTTCTACTTTTTCATAAACCTACAATGCCTACCTAAAGGATGGCCATATAAGGCATATTAATATAGGTTTATGCATTTAGGTGACTTCTTATCAGCAAGGGTATTATTAACACTTGTTGTTGAAAATTAATATTCAAGCTGTCTAATATAGTGGATTCAACATCAACTTATTTTATTTGGGTATAGATGTAATGCAAATATATCTATATGTATTCTCATACACACACACATGCACACACAGACACACACACATTAGTAAAAGCTTTAATAATAGCTTTATGAGGTAACTCATGTACCTAACAATTTACCCTACTAAATTGTAAAATTACTTTTAGTATATTAACAGAGCTGTCCAACAAGTAGCATGATCTAATTTTAGAAAAAATTTATCACCCTTGCACAACTCCTTGTACCATGAACAGTTACGTCCTGTTGCCCTCCTCCCCAGTCCCTGGCAACTTCAAGTCTACTTATTGTCTGTATGGATTTGCCTATTCCAGACACTCCATATAAATGAAATCATACAATATGTGATCCTTTGCAATTGGCTCCTTCCATTTAGCATAAAGTTTTCAAGATCCATTCATGTTGTAGCATGTATCAAAACTTCCTTCTTTTTATAATTATATAATATTCTCTTGTATGGATATATCACATTTTGTTTTTCCATCTGTTGATTGATGTTTTACTTTTTTGCTATTCTGAATAATGCTTCTATGGCCATTTATGTACAAGTTTGTATTTGGACATATGTCTTCATTTATCTTTAACACATACAGAGGAGTAGAATTTCTAGGTTATACAGTAACTACATGTTGGAACTTTTGGGGAACTACCAGACTGTTTTTAAGGGGCTGAACCTACCTGCAATATTACAGTTTCTTCATAAATTTCTCAATGCTTGGTATTTTCTGTTTATTTTGATTATAGCCATCCTATTTGGTATTAAATGGTATCTCACCATGGTTTTGATATGCATTTCTCTGATGGCTAATGATATTAAGCATATTCGTATGTATTTAGCTGTTTGCACATTGTCTTTGGAGAAAGACCTATTCAGAGTCTCTGCTGATTGGATTATATATTTTTGAGTTGTAAGTTCTTTATAGATTCTAGATACAAGTTTCTTATCAGCTATATTATTTACAGATATTTTTTCCCACTCTCTAGTCTGAGGTTTAACTTTCTTGATGGTGTCTTATGAGGCAATGGTTGTGCATTTTTTTTGTCTCTTTTGTCACTTCTACTTTATATCTAAGAAACCCTTGCCTAATTCAAAGTCATGAAGATACACTCCTTTGTTTTCTTCTAAAATTTCTGTAGGTTTAGCTCACATAAAATTATTTGAATCATTTTGAGATAATTTTTGTGTTCAGTGTGAGGAAGGGGTCCAACTTCTTTCTTTTGAATGTAGAGATTCATTTCTCTCAATATCATTTGTATTGGTTTTTAAAAAACTCATTGACTTGTCTTGTAAATTCTCTACAATAAAGTGGTTGGCTGGTGTTTGTTCTTGGACTCTGAGAGGTAGCCTTTAAATACTTAGAATTTCCTGAATGACAGAGGCATCTGTTATTCCTGGTAAATCCTATTAATTTATGCTAATTAGGTGACTCAGGATGGGAATTGTCTACACCAGAAAGACCAGTGAGGTGAAGACAGTCTTGTGGAAGATTCTGGCCTTAACCTGTGAAATTTAGCTTAACTCCAGGAAGTTAGTATTGGAAGTCATTGCACACCCTTGTCAAAAATTACTTGACCATAAATATCGCTGTTAATTTGTCAACTTTTATTAATATTTCATTAATTTACTTTCCTTTCCATATGCAAGTACTATGCTTTCTTGGTTATTGTAGCTCTTTATAAGTTTTGAAATACAATAGCATGAGTCATCCAAACTTTCACTTCTTTTTCAATAATGTTTTGTCTATTCTGAGCCCCATAAATTTTCATATGGATTTGAGGTTTAGCATTGCAATCACTGCAGATAAAAACAGCTGGGATCTGATACATATTGTAATAAATCTATGAATTAATTTGAGGTGAATTAAAAACTTCACAATATTGTCTCCTTATCCAAAAACTTAGGATGTCTCTCCATTTATTTACATCTTTTAAAAGATGTTAATTTTCTTTTGTTAAATTATTTCTGTTGTTAAATTTGTGTGTTTTTTTGATAAATTTGTTCTTAAATATTTTATTCATTTTTTCTGCTATTGTAAATACAATTGTTGTTCTAATTTTATTTTCAGATTATTGATTTCTGCAGTAAGGAAATACGGGTTTTTAAAAAAGAAATTATCAGTTAGATGATCTGAAGCAGAGAATTTCTTTGTTGGAAGTTTTAAAATTTCTAATTTAATCTTTTTCATTTTTAATTGATGTATTTAGATTTTCTATATCTTCTTGAATCAGGTTGGTAGTTTATTTCTTCTAGAAATGTGTCTATTTAATCTAACTTTTATCATTTATTGGCATAGATATGTTTGTAGTATTCCCTTATAATGTTTTTTGAATTGTTGTGTGTTCTGCTGTTTTTCCCCTATTTCATTCATGGCTTTATTCATTTAAGTTATTTTTTCTTTTTTTCCTTTCATTTATCTAGCTAGACGTTTTCCTTTATTGTTTATCTTTTTGAGAAACCAAGTTTTGTTTTTCAATTTTCTCATTGCTTCTCTATTGATTATTTCATTTACTTCTACTACATTCTTTATTTTCTTCTTCTTTATGTTTATTTTGACTTATTTTGCTCTTTGTAATTCAGTGACTTAAGGTCGAAGGTTAGGTTACTAATTTGAGATACTTCATCTTTCTTAATATCGGCATTTACGCTCCATTTTTCCTCTAAGTGCTTTTCTAGCCATACCCCATAAGTTTTAATACATTGCCCTTTTATTTTATTCATTATAAAATATTTTCCAATTATTTTGTTTTTGCATTTTTCTTTGACTGAATTGTTTTCTGGGATTACATTATTTAGTTTTCATGTTCATAAATTTTTCATATTTCCTTCTGTTATTAATTTATACTTTGATTCCATTGTTGGAGAATTTATTTTGTGTAGTTAAAATCCTCTTAAATGTATTGGGGCTTGTTTTGTGGCCTAGCATGTGGTATTCTGGAGAATAATACATGTGCTTTAGGAAAATGTTCATTATACTATTGTTGGGTGGCATGTCCTATAGATGTTAGTCATGCTTATTTAATTTATAATGTTGTAAAAGTTTCCTATGTCTATGTCTGTTTGGATTGTCTGCCTAGCTCCTCATCTATTTTTAAAAGTAGAACATGGAAATCTCAAGTTCTTTCTGTTGAATTTTCTATTTTACTCTTCAATAATTTTAGTTTTTATTTTATACATTTGGGACTCTTGTTAAATGCACGTGTTTATAAATGGTATTTCTTCCTAATGGATTGACATATATTACCATTATAAATTGTATTTATTTGACTCTAGTCACAATTTTTGATATAAAGACTATTTGCTAATATTAAGATAATATCTCCAATTATTTTGGTTCTTGTGTAGTACCTCTTTTCTCACTTTTAATCTATTTATATCTTTTAATCTAATGTGCATCTGTTCTAGAAAGTACATAGTTAGATCATAACCTTTAAAATTAAATCTGCAAATTTCTGCCCTTTTGTTGGATTATTTCATTCAGTTACATTTAATGCAATTACCAATAAGTTGTGCTTTATACAGCAACCCTTTAACAACATGGGTTTGAACTAAATGGATCCTCTTATACATGGATTTTCTTTTAGCTTTGCCACCGCTGAGATAGCAAGACCAAACTTGCTTCCTCCTCCTCCTCCACAGCCTACTCAATGTAAAGATGACAAGGATGAAGACCTTTGCAATGATCCACTTCCACTCAATGAATAGTGAATAAATTTTATATTCCTAATGATTTTCTTAATAACATGGTTTTTCTCTAACTTATTTTATTCTAAGAATGCAGTGTATATACATATAACATTCCAAATATGTGTTAATCAACTTTACATTCTTGTTAAGGGTTCTGGTAAACAGTGTGCTATTAGTAGTTAAGTTTTAGGAGAGTCAAAAGTTATATGTGGGCCGGGCATGGTGGTTTACGCCTGTAATCCCTGCATTTTGGGAGGCCGAGGTGGGTGGATCACTTGAGGTCAGGAGTTCAAGACCAGCCTGGCCAACATTATGAAACCCTGTCTCTACTAAAAATACAAAACATTAGCTGGGTATGATGGTGAGCGTCTGTAATCCCAGCTACTCAGGAGGCTGAGGCAGGAGAATTGCTTGAACCCGGGAGGCAGAGTTGCAGTGAGCCAAGATCGTGCCACTGTACTCCAGCCTGGGCAACAATAGCGAAACTCTGTATAAAAAAAAAAAAAAAAAAAAAGTTATATGTCGATGTTCAGCTGCATGTGGGATGGGCTCTCCTAACCTGCTGTGTTCAAGAGTCAACTGTATATGCCAATTTACTATTTGCTTTCCTAAGATATTATTTTTTTACTATTCCACTATTCCTTTATTGATTAATTTTTTTTTTTTTTTTTTTTTTGGTAGAGATGGCATGTCACTATGTTACTCAGACTGGTCTTGAATTCTTAGCCTCAACTGATTATCCTGCTTCATCCTCCCAAAGTGTTAGAATTACAGATGAGAGCCTCTGCGCCTGGCTACTTCATGTTTTGTATTAAATAGATATTTTCTGCTATACAATTTAAAATTTTTATTTTCAACTTCTTTCTAAAATTATTTTTATATTATTGTCCTGGGCACTAAATTAACATTTTAACTTAAAATAACCTAGTTCGGATTAATATCAACTTAATTTCAACAAAATACAAAAATTTCCTTTCCTTTTCTTTCTCCCTCCCTTGTAGTAATATTGTCATCTAAATTATACCATATACATTATAATCCTGGCAACACCATTTTATAATTATTGCCTTATGCAATTGCCTGTAGATCAGATAGAAAAGTAAAAAGTTACAAACAAAAATTCATTTGTACTATGTTATATTTACTTATAGAGTTCATTTACTTGTGTTCTTTATCTGTTTATATGACTTGAGTTAATGTTTAGTGTTTTTATTTAGCCTGAAGAGCTCTCAATAGCATTTCTTATAATTCAATCTGCTAGCAATATTTTTTTTCAGTTTTATATATCTCATAATGTCTTAATTTCCTCCACATTGTTAAAACATAATTTTACTGGGCATAAATATAATCTTTGATAGTATTTTTCATCTCAGAACTTTGAGTTTGCCACATGGTCTCTGGTTTCTGAAAAGAAGTTGTTATTTTTCTTGAACATAAATTGTAACAAATCAATCATTTTTTCTTGTTGCTTTCAATAATTTCTCTTTGTTTTTGATGTTTGACAGTTTGACTAGAATGGCTTAGGTATAGATATCTTCAACTTTATGTTTTTTGTAGTACTTTGAGACTACTGAATGTGTAGATTGAAGTTTTTCATCATACTTAGGATTTTTTGCCTAACGTTACTTAAACTCTATTCTTTCTATCATTTCTTAGCCTCCTTTTTTTATGAGACCCCTATATACATATGTTGTCATGATACATATTTTTCTTTATTGTTTTCTCTATCTGATACTCAGAGTACTTAATCTCAATCTATTTATTTTAAGTGTATTGATGTTGTCTTCTGCCAATTCGTTTCTGTTGAGCCACTGCAGTGAATTTTTTATTTCAATTATTATATTTTTCAACTTCAAAATTTCTGTGTTTCTTTGGCTGTTTTTCTCTATTTTGTTACTCATCTCTTTGTTACTCTCTATTTAATGAGAGATTATTTTAATATATTTTCTACTTCTTTAAGCATGGTTTCTCTTACATCTTCAGAAATATTTATAACTGTTCTAAAGTTTTGTCTCATTGAGTTTAATGTTTGAGCTTCCTTGGAGATACTTTGCATGTACTTTGTTTTCTGTTTATTGTTGTTGGTAATTTTTTTCATTTTGTCACCATCTCAGCCCCATATGGCTTATTTGCATGTCTCATCAATTTTAGTTAAAAGTTGGACATTTTAAATAATATCACAAATCTAGAAATCTGTTCTTATATCCTCAGTGTATGTTGTTGTTATAGTAGCCATTTGTTTAGATAATTTTCTGGATGAATTCTATAAACCAGTCACTGCTCAGAATAGTGACCAGCTAATAGTTTTCAAAAGATGTTCTTCAAAGTCTTGAACCAATATGTCTCTCACCTTTTGCCAAGCAACTTTGAATGTTTATTGGGGTGTTGAGACATGCTTTTGATTTTCTGACACTTTATATCTCTGCCTTAGCCTTCACTTCCTACTAACATAGAGCATTAAAGTTAGACAAATAGAAAAAGTTTTCAGACATTGTTGGTTTTTCATGGGCAATGAAAACTCTTGCACATGCCCATGGCTTTCTAGATCCCAAGGAACATGTTAGAGCTTTTGAACACTAACTAGATTTACATTATTTCCCAGATTTTGTTTTTACATTTTTGTCTAGTCTCCTCTTTATTTCATCCAGTATCACAGACTAAGGCAACTGTGATATTAAACAATAGCAACTGATTTATTTGACAAACAAGCTGGAAATAGGATTTTTCTTACTTAGCCAACTCTGAGTCACATCAAATAAAGACAAACCCTCTAAAAGAAACTTTTCCAGAGAGCAGCTGTATTGCTCAAATGTTGGCAATACTCTGATAAGACTTTTGGAAGAGCTCCAGATCTGCTCTGCACACAATCTTCTCCTGATTCCAGTGGTTGCTATGCTGCTGTTTTTCACAGCTACTGCTCTTGTGCTGTTTTTCAAGGGTACTGTGAAAATGACAAGAGTTGGATGGAAATGTCTTATATATCCTAGAGTGTTGGTTATATCTCTAATAAAATACATATCTTCCACTTCGGCAATATAGTTATGAGGATAACAAATTTCTTAAGCAGAAATTTAAGAAGATATACTACTGAAATGTTTTGTATTTTAAAAATCATTTTCCAGTATTCAAACAGGGCATGCCAGTTAGTTTATTATTAACAAAATACGTGTGTTCATACTAAACCCTTTATAGTAAGTATGGCAAATTTTAAGTATAATTTCCTGGAATTATTTTTGCTTTTGTTACTTTAATATCACATTTAATTTGCTCCCAAAAGAGATATTTTTCCAAAAGCATTTTGTTTTTGCAAATCACTTTCCCATTTGAATAAGAACCTCTCTTGTGATTCTGAGTATTTTGATATACTTATCACTTTTGTGATAAGGCAATCACAAAAAATAATGTTAACTATTTTTAAGAAATATTGGCTAAAAAACGTAGTAGCCTTATTATGTAGTCAATTAAGGAAAAGCTTATTTATTGTTGATTTTGACTTAACTTCTGTCTTTGATATTTATAAGGTATATTTTACTGCATAGTTGAGTCTGCAGATTGTTTTCCTCCAGCTACTTCACTATGAGCACAAAATTAATTATATATGCACCAGCAGATGCCACCAATATACACTTGAAAATGCAACAATAAATCTAAACTTTTATACCAAATAGAATTTCGCTATATGTGGCCTTATATTTACTCTTCCTTCTTTCAGCAGTTACAAGAATAAACACTACATACAATGTTGATATGTGAATGTACTAATTTAAATGATAGATAACATTTAATTTTTTATTATGTATTTTAATGTTGGAAATAATATTAAAGGTGATTACAATAGAAAATAAACCAGTAAAAATTCAAGAATCTTCCTAAACTGATCATTGAAGAATTGTAAGATTTTCTACTTCAAGTGTTTATGTAACAGGGTACCTAACACAATTGCAGAATACAAACACACACACAATTTCAGAAATATATATATTTTAACATACCCACATGTATATTTAGAAATACACACACGTATAATATATGTATATGTAATAAAAAGTGAACTCATTTATGCTATCAGGCCATTACAATAATACATTTTTAGAATTTCACAAAAGTAATTACTTTGGAAAGAATATACTTGCTACCAAGAGTTTGAAATTAGACTTTCACTAACAAGGTAAACTTTCAGATATAAGAGCCATATATCTGGTTATGATTATATATTACATCAAGGATTTTAAAACTACACTTAAACACAGACACACTCTCTCCTTCTTTCTCTCACTCCATGATATATATATAGCCCTGTCCCATTACCCCAAAGTTATTCCAAAATCTTACCAAGGATCCTTATTCCTTCTTTCAAAATACAGCTCTCCACAAAAACCCCACCCCATACACACAGCACAACACATGTCATCATGGGATATTTTGGCCTCCTTTTACATAAGAATAATTGGTGGTTATTGAGATTGAATGTCTACCTTCACTCTTAACTTTGGATGTTTGTATAATTACTATTTTAGATACTTTTGAAAATGAAAAGAGGCCTTATTAATTATTGTAGTGAAAAAAGAATGTGAAACTGGAAAATTTAGTCACTCTTCAAACCCAAAAAGCAGATAACATGCCTAAATCTACCCTTCCTTCCCTATGCTTTAAATCACTCAATTGGGTGTCACTCTTCCTTCCAAACAAAAATTCCTTTGCATGGACATTATATTTCACACTTTCTCCATATATAGCTGCTTTATCTAGTAAAGTAACCAGACCTGAATTCTGTAACCATTCACCTGACTCTCACCTTTTCCTTCTTAAAGACCATTCTTATTAATGGTTATTTTTTTTATTAAATATACTATAAAGTGTTTCACAATTTTACTCAAAGTCTTTTTTCCATTCCTATCACATTTATGCTAAAATGCACACTTAATTACATGACTGTAAGATGCTGAATGAATTGTCTCCATGCCCCCTCTCTGATCTCATTTTCTGCAAATCTTTTTCACTCCCTTTCTACTTCAGCCACAATTCAAATTTTGAAGCACACTAAGAGGTACTCAGTGTCTTTGTACTTGATGCTTTATCTCTTTAAATGCTGTCTCAAAATATCATGTGGCCTGTTTCTCATTTCATTCATTTTTGTTCAAATGTCATCTCCACTGAGTGGTCTTCTTTGACCATAATATATAAAATAGCACTCATCACTGTCCTTGCAACTGAAATGTATTTTCTTTTATAACACATACCACAGGCTCAATGAGCATTCAATACTACTTTTATTGTATGTCTCCTTAGTATTAAGTATTAATACTATTTTCATTGTATGTCTCCTTCAATACAAAAGAATTTAAGCCACATGAAATTTGTGTGATTTTATTTTTACTTTTTTTCTACCCAGAGCTTAGTCAAAAATATATTTATTGAATCACTGAAAGAAGTTGAAAAAATATAATCACAATTATATAGGATTTCTCTCATCTTTTAGCATGAACATATCACTGTATGGATTTTTACAGTGTACACTGTGCTTCTGACTTAGGGAGGCTCTTTTCTCTCATAAACCACATATTTACCTCTCCTTCCAGAGTATTTGACTATTAAAACAATTCATTTTTCAGTATCCTTTTTTCTGTCTCTACTGCATAAATTCTGTAAGTATAAAATCACATTCTCTCATTTCCCATTGATAAAAAAATTCTTTTCTCAACCCCATGTTGAATTCAAGGAACCATTCAATTATTTTATTAATATTCACAGCAAGTTTTTCCTACATAAGAAAAAATATTTAAGTATGTTTGGCTTTACAATAGCATTTGACAAATTTGTATTTCTGAGAAGCTGAGAAATGTATTTTGCTTTCAAAACACAATACTAGCCTGGCTTCCACCTGTCATGACTTTATAGGTTTAATCATGAACTTTATAATCTTTTCTCAATTCAAGCCTGCCCTAAGCAAACACTTAAAGAAAAAGGAGTTCTAGGAAGCTTACTTTAGCCTAACCAAATTGACAAAATATAAAGCCATCACAGGTGAAATAACCAAACTATGTAAAAGCTTTCAAATGTTTTTTGAAATTCCTTAAGTGAGTTTTTCAATTCTAGAAGCTCTGATTGATTTCTTCTTAATCCTCCCTCCTGGCGGATCACTTGAGGCCAGTAGTTCAAGCCCAGCCTGGCCAACATGGTGAAACCCCATCTCTACTAAAAATACAAAAATTAGCCAGATGTGGTGGCAGGCGCCTGTAGTCCCAGCTACTCAGGAGGCTGAGGCATGAGAATCGCTTGAACCTGGGAGACGACAGTTGCAGTGAGCAGAGATCCTGCCACCGCACCCCAGCCTGGGAGACAGAGTGAGACTCGGTCTCATAAAACAAAACAAAACAAAACAAAAATACATGGCACTAGTCTATTTGGTAAAACTAACAACATAGAATCATTCTTAAGCTTTCCCTTTACTTAACCCACAATATTTACTATGTTAGTCAGCATTCTAGGTACTGTAGCCAAGTATAATCTATTAGCTATTCATTTTTGTCTGTTAGTCTCTTTTTCCAAATAATCTTATTTAACCTCCCCAATTTTATCATTTAAATCCAATTTCAAATATCCCGTTAGTGCTTTCCACTAACAATGCTCGTGAAAATGCATTCTTTCATAAATCTACATTGTTTTAAATTAGTTTTCCCCAGTGAAGATATCAATATGTAAATATATTATGTTTAATTATTTGTTCGGTCTATACTTTCTGTATTTTTCTCACTCAAATATAAGCTTCATGACAGGAGAAACTTTCCTTTATCAGGTATTTATATCTTAGTGTCTTGACGACAGACTCTGATAGAATAGATTGTGAAATAAATGAATAAAGTGCTAAAAATATCTATATGAAAATATATTTCTTATGATACATAGAATGCATAGTTTTAATTTGATTTATTTATCATATTTTTATATCATGGTGGTCAGTGGAAGTAGAAATTATTTTGGAAGAAAGACCTGGTGTTCTAAGTTGTAGATACAGCTCTGCTATGTGACTTTAGGTGAGTCTATATAACTTTACTTACCTTTCATTTATCATCCCTCAAAAAATAACATTTGCTATCTGCAATTATTCTAATAAACTTTAGTGAAATTATGGAATAACATTAGCCTTATCTTTCACATGTGTTTCGTTAACAGCATTTTTTTTTTCAAATACATGCAGAGAGAAAGCATGGTTCTTCTACTTCATTGAATGATAATTCTCTAAGAAACCGTAAGGATAAAATATACACAGACAATAAGAAAAAACATCTCAATTTACTGGCTTTTGTCATACAAAAAATTGTAAGAGAAGGCCGGGCGCGGTGGCTCACGCCTGTAATCCCAGCACTTTGGGAGGCCGAGGCAGGTGGATCACGAGGTCAGGTGATCGAGACCATCCTGGCTAACACGGTGAAACCCCGTCTCTATCAAAAAAATACAAAAAATTAGCCAGGCGTGGTAGCGGGCACCTGTAGTCCCAGCTACTCGGGAGGCTGAGGCAGGAGAATGGCGTGAACCCAGGAGGCGGAGCTTGCAGTGAGCCGAGATCACGCCACTGCACTGCAGCCTGGGCGACAGAGCAAGACTCCATCACAAAAAAAAAAAAAAAAAAAAAAAAATTTTTTTGTAAGAGAAAAGCATATGCCTACTATATATGAGAGCTAAGGACAAAACCATTAGATCTCTGATATATTTTTATGACTAAGAGAACTGCTTTGTTTTTTCATCTAAATCATTATCTAGCCTTCTTAATAAAAGTAATCATTTCCCATTATCCTACCCATTCACCCCGAAGAATTGCAGAAGTAAGAAAAAGAGAAACTGCTATTAGGTTTCTATTGTTATTCTTTTCTCCCTTGTATCTGCATTTGAAATTAAAGCTTTTAAGTCAAAGAATCATTTCTATGCTTGGAAAACTGAATTAGAGTAGGAAAATGAATAAAGAATAATAAAAATTTGTTAATAGCTTGCAGCAGTGATATTTTCATACTACATTAATTCATTTTCCTACTCTAATTCACACAGCAGGGATAACAAATGAAAAAAAAAAACCATAACATTTAATCCTTATGGGACAGAAATTAATACCTTAAAGACACAATATTGTAGAGTAATGAGATATTTAGAGGATATTCTAGCCACACTATTAGCAAGAAGAGAGGCTTTTTTCACCTCTTAACAAAATTATTTAGACATCTATTCTGACATTAGACCTACCCACTTCATGGATGTTAGTTAAATTTTTTAGATCTTAATGCAATGACAAATTATGATTACATGCCTAATTATTCAAAAAATATGAAAGGTTTTAAGAAAGGATCTGGTGCTTAAGGATATTTAAGCAGGTAAATTAAAGAAAATCCATGTAGCCAACTACCGAACATGGGAAAAGGTCTGAGAATCCTTTGGAGATAAATCTGCATAAAACACAGGGCTTGACACACAACTATTTAAGGAGAAAAGTATCAGTTACAGCATACAACTGGAGAAAGTCTTGTGAAATATGCAATGGTCATTTTAGGATTGAAAGAAAGTGACAGAGAAAACACAATGAGAAAGCTTTAAAAAGCATTTTTTATGGTAAGGTTAAGATAGTTATATACGTCATAAATTTTCTAGAAATTACATCTGAAAGCAAAGGAGCTTACTCCTCAAATAATTCAATAGGGTTTTGTATTCCATTAAGTTAAACATAAGATTCTGCTGGAAGAATATTTTATGCTTATTAACCAATGCTCAAAACTCTATAGGCAACTTAAATAAATTGAAAGGTTTGAATAACTCTATTACATAAAGTTTACAGACTTCCTTCAAAATTAGTTAAGATGCCCCTGATGGTAACATGACTAGAAAATGTTCTTTGGGAATCAAATTTGATCTGTTGTTAGGAGTGTCCTAAAACAGCACATTAAACTATTTTTTTGTATTATAAATTAACAGAAGGATAAATTTCGTATGGTTAAAACTGTTTGAAGCAAATTAGTTTGGGAACCTAACTACACATGGAAACTTGATGGAAGTAGAAAAGATATCCCCAAGAATGAAAAGGTGCCCATGCTGGGAAGACAGGACTAAGAGCATTATTAATTATATTTCTGTTTAGTTCAGAGCCAACTTTCAAAAGTGGTAGAATTGGTTGAAAGAGTTAATGATGGTTTGATAGATTAAATTATTGATCTCATTTTTTTCCTAACTTGCAATAGCTTCATATACTCACACCCTTGGTATGAACCCAGTATGGGAAGAGTGTATGACCCAGTTAATTAACTATTTGGGTCTGACCACGTAAATGAATTCATCCACTGTGTTGACAGTAAATGTAACATGAGCAGAGGTTCACCCTATTGGGCTACAACAAACTGCAATGAGAAGACTACATTGTAGGTAGCCATTGCCCCTCATCCTGGGCTATAAAATGTCACATTTAAAGACAGGGTACATTGCCCGGGTAGGAGCAGGTTTAGAAATCGTGTGAGGCATGTGGAACAGATCTGAACCCAATGTGCAGATCCAGAAGCCCAGACTAGAAAGTTCAGTCAAGCTAGTGTCACTAAATTGCTACTGACCAACAGATGTAAAACTGGTAGATAATTGTTTTAAGAAACTGAGTTTTGGGGTGGTATGTTATTAAAAATTATTTTGACAATAGCTAACAATTATGGATACTAGTTTTAAAAAAAAATGGAAAGAGATCAGGTATGATCAAATTTACAAAACCAGTTAAAATCATGTATGTGGCAGGACATGTGGCTCACATCTATAATACCAGCAATTTGGGAGCCCAAGGCGGGAGGATCACTGGAGTGCAGGAGTTTGAGACTACCATGGGCAAAATAGGGAGAATGCATACAAAATTTTAAAAATTAACTGGACATGTGGCACATGCCTGTAACCAGGGAGTGTGAGGCTACAGTGACCCATGATTGTACCACTGAGCTGCAGCCTTGGTGACAGAGCAAGACCCTGTCTCAAAAGAAAAAAAAAAGTATTCATTAAAAAACAAAAGAGAACATCTTCAAACTTATGTAGAAGAAGAACAGAACATTTTGTTTTCTTAAATAAGACAAAATAAAATTTAGTTATAAAATTATGAATTTTCTGACTACTAATATTTTTATTTAATTTTAAATTTGTTTTGTAAAACATGAGATACGAATATTTGATATATATAGGGCTATTTTAAAAGAATAAGTATTAGAAATAAAAATATAATTTAATGCAAAAGTAAAAATTAACTCATTCCAAATAGAAAGACAATATTATTTTTGTTTTTTTGTTTTGTTTTGTTTTGTTTTTTGAGACACAGTCTTGCTCTGTCGCCCAGGCTGGAGTGCAGTGACATAGTCTTGGCTCACTGCAACCTCCACCTCCTGGGTTCTAGTGATTCTTCTGCCTCACCCTCTGGAGTAGCTGGGATTACAGGCGTGCACCACCATGCCTGGCTAATTTTTGTATTTTTAATAGATGGGGTTTCACCATGTTGGCCAGGTTGGTCTTGAACTCCTGATCTAAGGTGATCCACCCGCCTTGGCCTCCCAAAGTACTGGGATTACAGGTGTGAGCCACTGTGCCCAGCCAGAAATATAATATTCTAATGCCTGAAGGATCCTTGGATCCCTGGTTATCCAGGAGTATAGTATATTCTAGGCTACTTGCACTTCCCTCTCTCCCCAACCCTGTCTTTGTTACTCTCTCTCTAGAGTGTCTCACTCTCTCTCTTTCTCACTCCCTCTTTCTCTGTCTTTTGATTTATTTATTTATTTATTCATTCATTTATTTTTGCTCACCCCTCTCTCTTTCTCTATTTTTAGCTCTATTTCTGTCTTTCTCTCTAAATGTGCATTAGTAGTTAGATTTTAAGAATGGCCCTTGGCTGGGCATGGTGCCTCAGACCTGTAATCCCAGTATTTTGGGAGGCTGAGGTGGGTGGATCACCTGTGGGCGGGAGTTCAACACTAGCCTGACCAACATGGTGAAACCCCGTCTCTACTAAAAACACAAAATTAGCCAGGCATAGTGGTGCATGCTTGTAATCCCAGCTACTCGGGAGGCTGAGGCAGGAGAATCACTTGAACCTGGGAGTCAGAGGTTGCAGCGAGCCAAGATCGCCCAATGCATTCCAGCCTGGGCAACAAGAGAGAAACTCCATCTCAAAAATAAATAAATAAACAAATAAATAAATAAATAGGAATGGCCCTCAATGACGTTTGCTCTTGCACAACTCTCTCCACTTTGAGTATGGATCGGAATTGTGAACATGCTGAGATATCACTCTTGAGATTATGTTACCAAATGTAATCATGTGAGCACATTTTTTTGTAAATATATATATTTTAATCTCCTTTTTATCATACTTTAAGTTCTGGGGTACATGTGCATTACGTGCAGTGTTGTTACATAGGTATACATGTGCCATGCTGGTTTGCTGCACCTATCAACCCTTCACGTACATTAGGTATTTCTCCTAATGCTGTCCCTCCCCTAGCCCCCCACCCCCCGACAGGCCCCGGTTTGTGATGTTCCCCTCCCTGTGTCCATGTATTCTGATTGTTCAACTCCCACTTTTGAGTGAGAATATGTGGTGTTTGGTTTTCTGTTCTGTTAGTTGGCTGAGAATTATGGTTTCCAGCTTCATCCATATCCCTGCAAAGGACATTAACTCATCCTTTTTTATGGCTGCATAGTATTTCATGGTGTATACGTACCATATTTTCTTTATCCAGTCTATGATTGATGGGCATTTGGATTGGTTCCAAGTCTTTGATATGTGTATTGTGGCACAGTTCATGTGAGAACTTTACAGTCAGGTAGCAGAATGGGAAGACAAAGAGATTTGAGGCATGAGAAGCATTCCATGGGCCATTACTGGGTTTGAAGATGGATAAAGCCTAGGCAAAGATCAGAGAGCATCTTTTAGGATCTGTGAACAACGCCTGGTCAAAAGCCAGCAAGGAAATAATAGTAACATCAATCTCAGTACAGACATACCCAACTGAATTCTGCCAACAGTTTGAAGGAGCCCCAAAAAAATTCTTCTCCAAAGTTATCAGGTAGGAGCCCAACCCATCCAACAGCTTGAATGTGGCCTTCTGAGTTCCTAAGCACATTGGAAGCTGCGTGGAGTTTGACCTACAGAACTGTGAGCTAATAAATGGACATTGTTGTAAGGCATCTCATTTGTGGTAATTGGTTATGTAGTAATAGAACATGAATCCAATGTGTAAAATGCATATTAACTTAGGATTTAGAGTAATTTATTGAGAGGTTCTTTTTGTTCTCGACACTGTTTTATTTTTGTATACCTACATTAACAGAAGAAATAAGAAAGAAGGTTATGTGACATTCTTTTTTTTATTTTATTCTTGTAAGAGCTATTTTATCTATGATGTGTTTAATTATCCTGGTGAACATACCGAGTTTCTGCTTTGTTCATAATGCTTAGTTTTATTTTTGGTGAAATGTTGATGAGGTCAAGCAAAATATCTGCTCAACACATATTTTTAAAAACCTTAACATCTCAAATATTGAAAAAATATACAGCTTAAAAATAAAATACAAAAAGATGTTAAAATATTTCTAAAAGAGATCATGTTACAAGTGATATGAAACTTTGGCTTATTTGTTTTTATGCAATATGAAGCATCTGTCTACCTAAATAACTAACAGAAAGAAGCTCTCTAATAGAAAATGATGTTTATTCAGGCATAGGACACTGAAATGGGAATACATGTGCATATTCAAGGAGCTAAAAGAAGACAAACGTTTTTAAAGGAAAAAATAGAGAATTACATAATTGTTTTGAAATAATTATCCTTGGTGACAAAGATCATTAATGAGGGTGATGCCAGCCCAGGGTTGGACAGGCAGTTGGTGGGTAGATGTCCTTGCAGAAGCGCTGTTATGTCTAAGGTTGCTGTGATCTTTGTGCAAGGTTGTGATTTTTGTGACAGTTTTTTATTTTCAGGCATATGGGCGTGAGAGCCCTCTCTTCATAGACTTCCCTGATTCTACTTGTCAATTTTTGTTTTTCCTTCTAATAGTAATGACTCCATTGTGATTCTGACAACCTTCCCACATCTTTTATAAAACACTTTTGTTACAGACAAAATATTTTAAACAGCAGGAACTTTGAATACAGATAAAACATCTAAAGCTGAATTAGAATTACTGAATGTACATTACATTAAAAATTCAACTTTATAAAATTAGAATACATTTTATTTATTCAAGAGAAGAATGTATCACTTCTTATGTATTAAGGGTGAAAGCTGTACAGTGTATATGTCTGTGTATCTTGTTTATAACATGCAGGAGTTAAATAATTTAGAAAAGTTTATGAGGTCTTGGTAAAAATACATAACTATTATTTAATACATTTATCCCTTGCCTTTGGGATTTCATCTAATCACTCAAAGATTTGGGCCCCTCAACAGTAAAATAGAAATCATAAGTGAATTATAGGTAAAGGTTGTATTTGAATGGTTGACATAAATAATATGTAAATAATATTTTGGCACCCTCATACCAATATTTCTTCCTCGTTGTTATAGAATATAGTCTTAATATATGGTAGTACATAGAGTCAAACAGCAATAACATTCAAAATAATAATGATTATCTTTGATTACATAAAATAAATACTTTAGCAGTTATAGAGCTAAAGTTAGTCACACACTTAATTGAGGTAATCATGCGTTTGTGCTCATATACCAAAACACCTAATTGTTAAAACTCTTCTACTTGGAATGTTTGGATCTACCAAAACTAAAATGAAAGTGGTAACAAACATAGTTATGATTTTTCTGCTGCTGGTACAATATTTTTAGGTGAATCCTAACATAATCTTGATTATGTTCAGAGTTTTAAACCAAAAGTTCCTACTAAAGGATATTAAAGTAGGAAAATGTCTTAGAGGTTCATAATACAGGGAAAAATACATACTTTCTTTTCTTTTTCTTTTTTTTTCTTTTCTTATTTTTGTGGAGACGGAGTCTCACTCTGTTGCTCAGGCAAGAGTACAACGGCGCCATCTCGGCTCACTGCAACCACCGCCTCCCGGGTTCAAGCAATTCTCCTGCCTCATCCTCCCGAGTAGCTGGGATTACAGGCACATGACACCACGCCTGGCTAATTTTTTTCTGTTTGTTGTTGTTGTTGTTGTTTGTTTGTTTGTTTTGTATTTGTAGTAGAGACGGGGTTTCACCGTGTTAGCCAGGACGATCGCCTGACCTCGTGATCCGCCCGCCTGGGCCTCCCAAAGTGCTGGGATTACAGGCGCGAGCTATGCGCCTGGCGGGAAAAATGCTATCAACGGTTCTTTTTTTCCTTTCCATTGCCTGTCAGATCTTTGAAAATACACACACACACACACACACACACACACACACACACACACAGAGACATATAATAATCTTTCATATTTTATCATTATATCTACCATTTACTCTTGTATTTTATGTATGTATTAGTTCATTCTCACACTTCCATAAAGAAGTACCTGAGACTGGGTAGAGGATACACAAACATCAAAGAAAAAATAGATCAATTGGACCTCACTAAATTTCAAATGTGTATGCTTCAAAGGACAACATGATAAAGTGAAAAAAGCAATCTACATAAAAAAGAAACTAAGTTTTCAAGTCATATGCTTGACACAAGACTTTTATCTAGATCATGTAGAACAAATCTTGCAACTCAATAGCGAAAAGACAAATACCTCAATTAAAAATGGTCAAACAAGCTGAATAAACAATACTCAAAAAGGAGACTTGCAAATATCCAAAAAGCATGTGAAAATATGGTGAACATTGTTGGTCAACCTGGGACATGAAAATCAAACCCGGCTGGGTGCGGCGGCTCATGCCTGTAATCCCAGCACTTTGGGAGGCCAAGGCGGGCCAAGCACGAGGTCAGCAGATGGAGACCATCCTGGCTAACACGGTGAAACCCCGTCTCTACCAAAAAAATACAAAAAATTACCCGGGCGTGGTGGCGGGCGCCTGTAGTCCCAGCTACTGAGGAGGCTGAGGCAGAAGAATGGCGGGAACCCGGGAGGCGGAGCTTGCAGTGAGCCGAGATTGCGCCTCTGCACTCCAGCCTGGGGGAGAGAGCGAGACTCCGTCTCAAAAAAAAAAAAAGAAAGAAAGAAAGAAAGAAATCAAACCCGTGAGATATCACTTCACACTCACTGGGATAGCTGTAATTTTAAAAATACAGATAATTACAAATGTTAGTATATTGTGAAGAAATTAAACTTTTATATACACTGCAGGAGGAAATGTAAAATGGTGCAGTCACTTTAAAGCACAGTGGGGTAATTCCTCAAAAGATAAAACATAGACTTACTCGATTAGCCTGCTTCTAGATATACACCGTAAGCAGGAGTCCCTAACCTCCCGGCTGCAAACGGCTATGTGTCCGTGGTCTGTTAGGAACCCGGCCGCACAGCAGATGAGTGGCCGGGAGCCTTACTGCCTGAGCTCCGCCTCCTGTCAGATCAGCAGCGGCATTAGATTCTCATAGGAGCAGAAACCGTATTTTGAAATGTTCAGGGGAGGGATGTAGGTTGTGTGCTCCTTATGAGAATCCGACTAACGCCTGATGATCTGAGGTAGAATAGTTCCATCTGTGGAACGTTGTCTTCCACAAAACCGGTCCCCGGTGCCAAAAAGGTTAGGGACTGCTGCCATAGAGAAATGAAGGCATATGGCCACACACATACTTGTACACAAATGTTCATAGCAGCATTATTTCCTATAACCCAAAATGTGGGAAAGAATAAATATCCATCAACACAGGAATGTATAAACAGGTATGTCATGTGTATATATGAATAATAAAATATCAATCATAAGAAGGAACAAAGTACTGATGCTTCTTATAATATAGATTAACTTTGAGAACAATGTGCTTAACGGAGAAAGTCAGTCACAAAGGACCACATAATGTATGATCCTATTTGCATGAAATGTTCAGAATAGGCAAATTCTTAGAGATAGGAAGCAGATGGCTGCTTTGCTAGGACTGGTGGGGTGAGGTTGAGAAAAAAGGAGGCGACTGCTGGTGAGTATATGTTTTCTTTTAGGGGTGATGAAAATGTTCTAAAATTGACTGCAGTGATAATTGCACAACTGTGTAAATATTATTTCTTAATCTTTTGTAACTTAAATTTAAATGAAACACTATGCTTACATCTAAATTATACAAATAAATATAGAGGTTATAATAATCATGGCTAACATGTCGCACTTACTAGATTGCATACACATTTTTGTGTCTGTAAGTTGTACACTTTAAATGGGTAAATGTTATGGGATGTGAATTATTTTCTCTAATAAAACTACTAAGAGAGACACAGAGACAGAGAGAAAGCTCCATAGTCATAGGTTTTGGATGTGGTGAGCAAGACCGCCAGGACAGGCTGTGAGCAAAGCTTGCAGGAGAGTGATGGGGAGCCTAGGGAGGGTATGAAGCAGAGGAAGGTCCCAATTGGATTTCTCCATTTGAGAACCCTGTTTTCTTCCTGGTGATTCCCTATCGCAGCACCTTTCATCTCTAATAGTGTGGTTATGTCATTAACATTTTTTTCCCACCAACTCCACCGGATTAGGGGCTTCTGGACTCAGTACCTTACAGCCTTAATGACCAGGCAACAGCCAAAACAGAATCTTCAACACGTATCTATTGACTAAGTGGGCAAAATGTAAAATAATTAAAAAGAAGTATAGCTGCTTATAATAATATTTTATTACACTGATAAAAGTTATTTCTATAAAGACAATTTTCTTCCCTTTTAAAATGTCATTTCCACAGTAAAAAACAAAATTAAATAAATGTAATGGTGTAAGTATGAAATTCAAGAGGAATGGTTGAGAAGTTACAATTGATTTACTAACTGCCATGATTCCACCCTATCAGAAAATTAACCTGGAGCAAATTGTTTAGTATTTCTGACTTCTAGTTTTCTCAGTTATCATATAGGAGTAATAAAGGTACTTATTTTCACTTTTTTTGGCAAAAGTCAAATCAGTTATGCAAATTTGTTATAGTGGTGAGTGTGACCCCTTCTTTTTCCTCTTTTTCTTTCCCTTTAACAGTAGTCACACCACCAGTGTACCAGAAAATTAGGTAATGGTTAAGTAAGCCAATGTATATAAAACTGCACCTCAGTAAAATCATTATGACTTTCACCTACTTTCATTATATATATATATATATGTTGTCCTTTGAAGCATAAACATTTTAATTTAATGAGGTCCTACTGATCTATTTTTTCTTTGGTGTTTGTGTTTTTGTTGGCAGATATGCTTATTTTTGACATTTGCACCAAGGTATTGCTCTAGGCTCTGGGGTCCTTGAAGAGACCTCTCTATTAATCGTTACATTAATGGTCCATAGTGATCATCAAAAATTAGTTTCTCAATAGGAAGATTCAATTTAAATCAGATATTTGAATCAATCATTGAGACAATTTACAAAAATCATTCACAGTGCTTCCTTATAGAAACCAAAATTCTGTTTGAGAGTAGAGCTAAGTGTTAAGAGCAGTGAATATAAAGTCAGGTATTCTCAGTCTGAATTATAGCTGTCGTATCCTCTGGCTGCATGGCATATATGCCTCTCAGTTTCCTTAACTGCCAACGCAGTTAGCATAATGATTATTTTCCCAAAGTTTGTTGTAAAAGTAAAATAATATATAAAACCTACACAAAAGTGCACCTTTATACATACTGTTACTTAAATAGTCCTATCTTAAAACATTTACCCTCACATCTGGATAACACAAATAAATAGGTGAAAATAATGATAGCTAACATACTACCCATTTTCACCTCTCTATTTATTTGTGTTATCAAGACGTGAGGGTAAATGTTTTCACTTAAGATAGGACTATTTAAGTAACAGTATGTATAAATATGACATCCCTTTTTACATTCAGATTTTTTCATTTGTTTGTTTTTTAAACTTTTTTTAAATTGACAAATAAAAATTGTATTATTTGAGGTTGCTTACTAGACAAGAAAATGTAACATGGCAGCTTCTTTCCATCTGAAAAACAGGTTGATTTTGTGTCACCTGAGACATTAGGATGTATTATTATGTTATCAGGCATACTTGATGTTTAAGGTTCTTTGTCATCTACAGATGACAAAGGATTGACTAGGGTTTTAGTCATTTAAATCAGAAAATAAAACACTATGCTTGGTTTGAGCAGATGATCATTATTGCTACTCACGCCTACTCATGTCAGAGTTGACATGAATAGTCTAAAATTTGTACACTTTTATTTATTGTCATTTCATTTTCAGGCTGCTTATTCTAAAAAGGACTAGTTTTCATGCTGTAAAACACTGGCCAGATAACTTATGATAATTTATGATGAGCTTATTCACTTAGTTACTAATATTTTCAGGAACAACTTAATGGGCATTCACAATACATAAGATCAACAATTTTAGCAAAAAATCCTTTATATCCCTCTCTTTTTTTTTTTTTTTTTTTTGAGACTGAGCCTCTATCGCCCAACCTGGAGTGCAGTGGCACTATCTCAGCTCACTGCAACCTCTACCTCCCGAGTTAAAGCTGTTCTCGTGCCTCAGCCTCTTAAGTAGCTGGGATTACAGGCGCCCACCACCACGCCTGGCTTTTTTTTTTTTTTTTTTTTTTTTCCCGAGATGGAGTCTCACTCTGTCACCCAAGATGGAGTACTGTGGCGCCGTCTCCGCTCACTGCAACCTTCCCTTCCCAGGTTCAAGCCATTCTCCTGACTCAGCCTCCCGAGTAGCTGGAATTACAGGCAAGCGCCACCACGCCCGGCTAATTTTTGTATTTTTAGTAGAGACGGGGTTTCACCGTGTTGACCAGGCTGGTCTCGAATTCCTGGCCTCAAGTAATCTGCCACCTCGGCCTTCCAAAGTGCTGGGATTACAGGCGTGAGCCACGGCGCCTGGTCCATTTTTTGTATTTTTAGTAGAGATGGGGTTTCACCATATTGGCCAGGCTGGTATCGAACTCCTTACCTCAAGTGATTGGCCCACCTTGGCTCCCAGAGTGCTGTGATTACAGGTGTGAGCCATTGCGCCTGGCCTATACATATATCTTAAGTTATAAATATTTGGTGTATTAAAATTGATTACGGTAATTGACTTCTATTAGTTAAGAGTTGATATTTAAATAATATTTACCAATTATATGAAATGTGTGACAACTTAAACTCTAGATTAGATTTCTCATGTGCTTTTTGCATTTCTTGTTACTACTATATTAGATTTACCTAATTTACAATTTTATATTTTCAGACATGACATCAAGTATTTGAAGGCTTTTTCATGTAGTTTAAATGCTCAGAAAGTAAATGGACCTGTGGAGAGATTTCTTATAGAATACCATTTTCTGTGTTCCTTTGTATCTAAACAGAAACATACCATAATAAAAAAGACATTGCACATTTGGGTTTTCTTCATAAGAAATATTTTATAAGCTAAATGGGTATTTAGCCTCTCTGACACTGATCAGGGAGACAGGTCCTTAAAATAAGCCACTTGAACTCAAAGAAATAGTATTAACTGGTCTTAACCAATAGTACATAACCTCATTCCACATTGAAATAACTATGTGGGCACTTGACAGGCATAGTGAGTCAAGGTGAACATGGACAAACATAGTGTATCAAGGTGAACATGAACAGGCATAGTGCATCAAGGTGAACATGAACAAACACAGTGCATCAAGGTGAACATGGACAGACACAGTGTATCAAGGTGAACATGGACAGACACAGTGTATCAAGGTGAACATGAACAGACACAGTGTATCAAGGTGAACATGCACAGACACAGTGTATCAAGGTGAACATGGACAGACACAGTGTATCAAGGTGAACATGGACAGACACAGTGTATCAAGGTGAACATGGACAGACACAGTGCATCAAGGTGAACATGGACAGACATAGTGTATCAAGGTGAACATGTACAGACAGTGCATCAAAGTGAACATGGACAGACATAGTGTATCAAGGTGAACATGTACAGACATAGTGCATCAAAGTGAACATGGACAAACACAGTGCATCAACTTGAACATGCACAGACATAATGTATCCATGTGAACAAGAAGAGACATAGTATATGGAGCTGAACATGGACAGATATAGTGTATCAAGATGAACATGGGCAGATATAGCCTATTGAGGTGAACACTTACATCCTGTTTTCACTGTTTCTTGTGGTGGACACCATGTGTTGTGGGTACATAATCTGTGACCATAATTTGATTGTATTAAAATATTTAAATATTCCTTTAACACTGAATCCAGACGAGTTGTGCAAGTGATCGCCCACTGTTTTATTGAATAATCCAAGGGTGTGTGAACTGGCAGTTAGTTCTACCTTCTATTTGCTTAGGGATGCCTCATCTCACTTGCTTTATACACAGTTGATGCTCTATCAGCACTGTTCCTAAAGCACTTCTTTCTAGAAGTTCTACAGCTCAAATAATACCTAACATGGTTAAAAAAGAAAATCTTCTCACTTACGATGGTTTCAATGATAAATAAAAACTGTGTACTTTCTTTTATTTCTAAAAACAAACATGGCAAGAGCCGATTCATGTTCTGCACATCAGAGGATTTATTAAATCGTAAGATGAAATACCTACCACCAAGTCCAAATAATGGCAGTTGCTCTTTCATACTGTGTAATTCATATTGTGAAATGTTGAATAGTATCATTTTAGAAAGAATTGTTAGTAAACACACACTGCGTTTTCTTATATAACACACAATTTAGTACTATTGTTGTGTTTGACATTATAAATGTCTTGGCAGTAACATTGCACGTACTTTGCTGTATAAGGGCATGACCTTTGAAGACTGCCTCTTTGATTTTCTTTAATTTTCTATCCTAAGCTGAAAAATCATAACACATTCAGAGAAAATATTGAAAATATATATTTTATTAGAATTGCTATTGTGTTTCTATAAAAATTGAATGAAAACCTTGATAACATCATTACATTCATTTGTTAAAACCAATTACTCAAAGGGATCACACTGGAAATTAAAGACAAATGGATTACTGAGCCACTAAGTTCCAACTCAAACCTGTTTTCAGATACCTGTGTGAAAAACTCCTACTTGCTGATTTATTTGTACTTGCACGATTGTATTCACAACAAACTTCTGTATTTCTTTTTCTGAGTTCTGTGGTTGCATTTTTATCATTACCATTTTGGGGCTAGTAATTCATCTTAAGCAGAACAAAGATAAAATATCCCAAAATTGTAATGATAATTTAAGTTTAACAAACACAACCAGTAATACACAATGGATATGTAAAGGTAGAATCACTTTACCCTGTTAACTAAATTTATTCAACACAAACTGACTAATCTCTCCTCTATGTTATGTTTGAAAACATAACAGCCCCTCTCTCTCTCTCTCCATATATATATAGAGAGAGATATAATTACACGTATATATGGAAGAGTATTATATTTATAGAAGAGTATTAAGAAGCCTATTATATATTAAATACCCTTCTACCCTGGCATATTTGACTTTTCAATTTTCCTATACCTTCCTTAATTATTAGATTATCTTATTTCCTTAAATGAACCACCTTTAACATACGAGTGTATGTATATGTGTATATATATGTGTATATAACATATATGTACGAACACCTATATATGTTTTTATATATATACAGAAATATATATATATATACAGAAATATATATATATATACATGCACCCATACACAACACATATGTATTTAAAATGGTTCATTTAATGAAATAATAAGAGCACCTAATAATTAAAGACAATATTGGAAAATTGTGAAGTCAAATACACCAGGGTAGAAAGGTATTTTATCTTTCTTAAAGCCTAAGGTATTATTGCATCAATCTTCCTTATGTCTTTGAGATTACTGATAAACATAAAAATGAAAAAATACATACATAAATTAACTTTTATTTAAAATATTGGTAGCTGAAGCTAAATAAAATAACCCCCAAAATCTCAGCTAAAAGTATAAAATAATCAAATTATACAGGTAGTAAAAAGGACAAATAAAAATGTAGAGAACCATAAACATGCTGCAGCAAACCTTTAGTAGAAATATGACCAAATTCTCTATTCTAGCCCATGTTTCATTTTTGGGGGTTTTGAGAACTGATCTACTTATCTGACAAGCCCAGACAGAAGAAGCAAGCAACATACTTAAACAATGAACTGCAAACAACAGAATATCTCTATGTACTTTTAAGTGAAGTGATTAAAAAAAAAACTGGGCCTCTTATAATCATTAGGAAGGTGAAGGATTAGGCTTGCAGAAGTGGCAGTTCCCAGAGGGACACTGGAGGATTGAGTAGCAGAAGCTACAGCAAAGGTCACAGAGATAAACAAACTAGTCAACACATTGCAGTTGTCACTGTAATGAACACATTTCCTGGCCCTTGGACTTTGTTTCAATCACTTAAGTTCCAATGTACTGAAGATATAATTGGCTATGCCTACATAATTTCTCCATTCATTGTGTCCTTTGATTACCATACCAAGAAGTATACACTAAATTTCACGAGGAAGATACATTTTGAGGATAATTTTTCTAAAGTGAGATTGAAGATAAATTACAAAGTGGAAGGAAGAATTAGATATCAGAAAAATGGTTTGCATTTTCACATAATGTTTGTATATACAGGTATAGTAATAGAACAGATATCTACAAGGCTTCGCAGGGATACAGCTGTATACCTCCCGTCCCGCAGCTACTGCAAGCAGGCAAAGACACATATTCACAGGCATTTCAATCTTTGAGTAAGTCTTCGATGTCTGGAGTACATGCAATGGATTTTTTGATAGTAACAAAATTATTAATAGCATATCAAATAATTTAAAGATCATATTAAAATGGACATTAATATTTTAGAGGCCCAATATAAAATAAAATCAGGGATAACATTGTCATATTTCTAGTAATGGTTTGCTACAATATGTTAAAGATTGTTTATATGTTTTTATTTGTCACTTTTACTACCTGTTAGATTTCATTTCTCTAACTCTTTAGAAGAATAGAAGGGGAAATGAAAATTCAGGTAAATTCTCTCTTTCTCCAATTAACTGAAAGTTAAAATCAGTATTGCTTTAAAGGCCAGATGGTTGTATAATGACTACATTTTTAAAATGTTTCTAACTATTTTAGTTAGAATATCTTATTACTATCATTTAGAGATATGTTTCTTTATGGAACTGGAATCAAGACTATTATAAAGATTCAGAAATGTTTTAGTTTAGCTTGTGCATCATGGGCTAGTCTGATATTATTGTATAGTTATTACTGTTCAAAATATGTTTAGAAAAGTATTTCCAGGGCAAAGTGCAAAGATCACAATAACAAGCAAACTTATTTGTCTCCCTTGTTTTTTTATTTCAGTCAGTCTTTCTCGAATGAGTCAATTGTATTTTATTGCAAGAAATACTTTTCATGCAGAGATTTAAGCTGAAAATGCGTACAGACTCTCTCTGAGTTAAGGTTTTGAAACTAGTATTTTATATGTCTCAGTGATTTGAACTTTTGTCAGCACTCAACAAAATGAATTTTACAGCAAATCTTCTTTCTAAGAGTTTACCACTCTGGATCCTTAATGCCACAGATATAGGAGGGAATGTAGTTTGCCACCACTTTAGTTAGTATTGTGAAACATAATCTGGTACAAAATGTATGTTTCAGGTTTTCTTCATATGAAGGAAAAAACAAACAACAACAAACAACAACAATGAAACTCTTTAAGAGTTCCAATTTCCTTATATTAATCATCCTTAAGCTTTATATAATCTGCATTAATTTATACTTCTTTATATAGCAGTTCAGAACTAGTAAGGATATAGAAAACACACAGTAACACGAAATTTAATGTAAAGCTTTAATAGCTATGATAAAACGAAACCTATAGCATATAAGGAAGCTAAACATGGAAGAGTACCCAAGAGAAGATAAACTCAAAAGAGGTTGAGACCTAGCTGGAGAAGATATCATTCAGTTGTCTATAATATTCACTTGCTTGGCGAGGCTGGAGCTAGTCTGTTGCTATTGAGAAAGCAGTAGGCCACCTTCTTTTCTGGAGTACAGGTAAGAAAACAAGAAATAGGCTGGGCATGGTGGCTCACGCCTGTAATCCCAGCACTTTGGGAGGCTGAGATGGGTAGATCATGAGGTCAGGAGTTCAAGACCAGCCTCGCCAACATGGTGAAACCCCACCTCTATTTAAAAAAAAAAAATACAAAAAAATTTAGCTGGGTGTGGTGGCAGGCAACTGTAATCCCAGCTACTCTGGAGGCTGAGGCAAGAGAATCGTTTGAACTCAGGAGGTGGAGGTTACAGTGAGCCGAAATTGTGCCATTGCACTCCAGCCTGGGTGACAAGGAGAGACTCTGTCTCAAAAGAAAAGAAAAAGAAAACAAGGAATAAGTAACAGGTATCACAGGTGTGCAGTAGGAATCTGAGCAGAGTAGGTGCAGGTAGCCATCGGAGAATACAGGCTGTGTAGGTCCTGTGGAAAGAGTGGAAGTCTGATAGGTGATCCTTCTGGCCACGAGCTGCATGTAGGCTGTACAGAGACTTACAGAGGAAGTGCAGGCACCACTAGTAGAGAAGAGACATTATGGCGAGTAGGCCACATGAGTCGTTTGGTCATCAGTGCAGCTGGTAGTTTTCAGAGTGTCCGGATGTCTACAGAAAAGCTATCAACAGGCCTACTCTGCCTAAACGCTAATTAGCAGGAGATTCTCTTCCTCCTATAATGTCCTTCCAGAGCTCTCTACTGAGAGAACATAATAACATGTTCACTTCAAAGGAGAAATATTCAAAGGGATACTGCTGTTTATCCTACGCCATTTACTGAAGGGTACATTCAGAGCTGAAAGGCAAAGAATTGATAATGAAGAACATGATTAAGTTCAGGTTATTTATTATTTGGTTACTCCAAATAAGCATCCCTCTACATATATTTGAACTCCTCATTATAATAAGTTAACTCTACACGTATACCTAAACGGCACACATCTCTCCTTACAAATGGAGAAGCTCTCACTCTTCTCCAAAATGAGAAGACACACATTTCCAACAGTTATTGTATCTATAAAAAGCTGCATTTCTCACTTCTCAAAATTCGCAGGTGGTTTAAATGAATGGTCTGATGCATTGAATATTCTTTTACTTAATACTGAATTGCAAATTAACTTCCAATAACTAGTATATAAAATACACAAGAACGAGGGCAACAAAGAGAAGGAATAAAAGATTGATTAGTACATAAAATAAATGCGTGAATATAACAAGCAGTAGGGAAACACACAAGCTATTACACTTGGTGTTTCTGTAGTTGGTCATGGATCCTAGATAATATCTAGACTTTGCTCTTCAAAGACCTATTTCAATTTGTTGTTGTTGCTCTCAGCCAGAACCTCAGCTTCTCTTCCAACTTTAGGTGATGTAGTAATTGAATCATTCCCAACTCTTTATTCTGGAAAGGAGAAGTGGGGGAGAGATAGAAAAAGAGAGAGAGAGAGAGAGAGAATTAATACATTAACATTTGTATAATTGGGGAACCTACATAGGGGTGGTATATGTGTATTCACCATATGAATCTTTTAATTATCAGTTGTTGAAAATGTTAGTTAAGAAGTTGGCAAAAATAAAAACGATATAGTTATGGGAAAATAAAATCTGTGTATAAAGCCTTAAAGACATCCAAATACAAATGTCATTACATTTGAGTGTATTTCCACCTTTCCTCTGCTCCAATTAGAAAAAAAGTGAATAAATTGGACCAGAATATTCATATAACTTTTACTTAATGATTTCCTTTTTCTTGATTTAGAAGTAATGCAGTCTTTATTTTGTGAATAATGAGTGTAGTGTTTAATATTATTTCAACTTGGCAGGCCCCTGGTGCCCAGCTTTTGATCAAACGTTACTTTGGATGTTTCTGTGAGTGTTTTAAGGTGAGATTTACATTTAAATAAGTGGATTAATTTATAATATTATCTTCAGAATGTGGAACTTATTTACATGGTTCCAAAAGTCAAAATTATTATGGAAAGCTGTATACAGAGCAGTATCACTCCCTTCTGCATGTCTTTTATCTCACTACTCTCCACTCTTTGTATATATTCAATTTCAGTGTTTTCTGGTTATCCTTTCTAATTTTTTAGTTTTGTAAAGATAAGCAGATAAAACTACATTTTCTCATATTCCCTCCTGTTTTACTTAAAGATTAATACAGTGTATATAATCTTTCACACATTGTCTTTTTTTAACTTAACATGATCCTTTTCCCACAGACTCAGCCCTTTCGTTTTCTTTTCTCCTTTCCCTTCCCTTCCCTTCCCTTCCCTTCTCTCCCCTCCCCTCCCCTCCCCTTCCCCTCCCCTCCCCTCCCTCCCCTCCCCTCCCCTCTCCTCCCCTCCCCTTGCCCTTCCCTTTTCTCTTCTTTGTTTCTTTTCTTTCTTTTCTAATTTAGTCAGTTTGATGGGCAAGCAATTGTTCTCCACTTTTAATTTTGTTTCCTAGTTAACTTGCATTTCCCTTATTATAAATGAAATTGAATACATTATAGCCATATATATACGTTGAATATATTATTTTCTTATATACCCATATGCGTGTGGGTATATTAGAACCATTTGATATTTTTTTTGTGAATTGTTCATGTATTTTGCCCATTTATCTATATTATTTTGGTCTTTTTGGCTCAACTTTTAAAAATTCTTCAAGTATTTGGAATATTATGCCATTAGGCCATTATCTAAAATGTATGTTAAAAATAGTTTCATGTAGCTTGTCAATTGACTTTTGTCTTTGCTTATGGTGTATTTTTCTCATAAAAATTAATTTTGTATAGTCAAATTTACCTATCCTTTTTAAAATTTCTTCTTCTGAAAGTCTTTCTGTACACTCAGGACATAGAGGAAGTCACCACAAAATATTCTATTTTGAAGATAAAAAATCTGAGTTTTACATCGATTATTTACCTAAGCCCACAGAGCCAGTAATACCCAAGCCAAAACTTCAAATCTAAGTGATTTCAAAGGATGTGAGCAAAAGCTTCACATGGAACTGCCTGTATGAGAAGATGGTACAATAGCTGTGCCTAGGACATGAGAAGATGATGTCGAAGAGGTGATTCAAAGTCATATCAAACCACACAGTGTGATGTATAAGCATGCATTTTAAAAAGATGTGGACTTATTTTACTTTATGAGCCCTAAAACCTGGTGACATTTACCTCAATTTTGAAGGACACAAGAGGTATAAAATTATACCTGCTTTCACAAATATTTTTGGCACACATTAACTTGGGAAAGATGTACAAAACCAATAGTACATCCAGTTCTTCACTGGCAAATAGTTTTAACATTGTATTCGTTTTCAACCAAGTTGTTTTTTGATTTGTTAATTACTATCAATAATTTGTAAATTACTGTAAGTTCTATCTTAAACTAATTTGAGGATGAAGAGATACTTGGGAGTCTTAAATTTTAGAAATATCCTTTTGGAATTTGTGTTTATGGCACAATAATATCGTGTGGATGTATCACCCCTCGCTTTGTGTTGTGATAGAAAAATGATACGGCTAAAACATTACTGAGGGTCATTTTCCTCAGCCTTCCTAAAAAATAAAATGTGTGTGAATCCTGGGTATTCCTTTCTCTTTTCCATTTACCTCTTGGGCTTTTACAACTGCAAAGGCTACTTAAGAATTAGCTATTCTAGTTATTAATGGTAAAATGGGAGTGTTGATACTGAATATTAAAATAACTTTTTAGTCATTTTAAGACTGCTTTTCAGTTTATTTCTTAACATAATAATTTCACATTGGGAAAAAATAAAGCCATCAGAACATCCTCAGGAAGAAGCAGGATTTATATTATTCTAGGCTTATTGCTTGGAAATTGTTTTAGAAAAGCCAGAATTCTTCTCTGTGCCCCTCTGGGAACTTCTGCTTCTTAGTTATGGTAGGATTTAGAGCAGAGCTTTTGCACTGAGACATCAGGGAAAAGGCTAGCATTCTCATTCCATTTCTAGTAAAGCAAAAACCAGTGTATAAAAATAAAAGCATAAAATATAAATTATGTATTAAATACACACCTTCTAGATTGGAGGAGTGCTTTTTAATAAAATATATCTATTAAGTTATTATGACCTGAAAACAATTATTTGTAAATTAAATACTGAAACCAACATTATAATAAATGTGTCTACATAATTAATACAAATACCCATGCCAGTGTTTAAAATGTGGTTGGAAAATTAAATCAAAGTTCTTATTTCAGTATCACAACTATAGTACTGAAAAAGACAAACATTTACCATTATATATGATACATTATGTTAACCTACTACAGAACCTGAAATATATTATGACTTTAATAAACATGAACGTTCTTTTTTCAATATTGAAATTCGGCTATCTATAATTCATCAAAATGTATCCATGTACCAACTCTTTTAAAATCCTACATAGTAATAAGGGAAAGACAAAAGTACTAACTCTAACTATGAAGTATATTTTCACAGTTATGACCTATATACTACTTCAAAGCGAAAAAAAAGCAAAAAGAGTCAATAAGAAATGAATCTTCTAAATTCATTCATGCTGCTGCAAATCACAGAATATCCTTTGTTTTTAATGCTGAAGAGTGTACCATTATGTGCATATTCCACATTTTCTTTATCTTTTCAATGACATAGGTATTTCAAGAAAAGCATGGAACGTGAACTCTGTTCTTGTGATCAAGGCTAACCTTTACCCCGCAATAGATCTCTCTGTAAATTAGTATTTTCCTGGGGAGTTCAGGCATACTCTTACACATTTTTAATATTATAAAATATGACTAAAATCTGTGTCATTTATTGTAAAATCTCGTAAAGAAGTACTTCACCGTGAATTGTGTAGCAGCAAAACACAGTACTTCATAATTAGAGCATCAAAATTGGTCCATAAAGAATCTTGATGTGAACATCATCATTGTCAGTTATTAGACATATTGTATTCTGTCAGCTTCTTTACCACTTTCAGTTTGTCTTGCCAGGATTTTGGTATAGAGTTAATTATTTATATAAATTTTTCAACACAATGTTAACTTTAAAAAGTATTATTTTGTAAACATACTTTTCATCATAACGTTAGTTTTGAAATGTATTTATATATGGAAGCTTTGTAGAAAGACAATCATCTATAAGAGCTCAGAATCTCACAGAGAGAAAATGTTGGCACATCTGCAATTCAGTGCTGCTCCAGAGCACATTTTATAACACAAGAGCTCGGCTTAAACACGGTGCTTAATTACTGAACAGTTATAATGAGTATAACACGGAAAAGTCATGGAATTCTGAATTTTGTAACCATTGTGAATCACTAAACTCAAGTAGCCCAGCCTTGACTAATTCCACATTCAATTTTTCCTTTTTATTGCTCACCTAAATTATCTTATATCCTGGCCTAAGCTGTAGGTCAGAACTCTCAAAGTGTCAGAAAGGATTCAATTGCTGCAGCAAAAAGATCATAGTAAGACTCCTTCACAGACCTAATCAGTACTATGGAACCAGGCAACACAATTATATCAAAAGAACAAAAAACAATCACGTCTCAACATAAATGAAAGGCATGTGCATACTGAGGAATATCTTGCTCTTAGCTTTGATATTGTTCACTGGATTCCTGGTTCTACTATATCTGGCATCTGCTCTTCTTGTGTATGTAGATCAATGCTGTTGCTTTGTAATTCATTTGTATGTTTGTTGTGAAGACAGATTTGATACTATCATTCTATATTTACAAAATGTATCCCAATAGTTTGTAGTTTTGAAATTTGCTTATTTATCTAGTGAATATTCAGCATCTAAAAATTTGGTAAGCCATTCACTTTCCACTTGGAAGTGCCTGGGCTGGAATATAATTTTTAGCATATTCTAGTAGGATAATCTTATATTCTGACTAACATGATAGTAAGAACAATACTTTCATTCGTAAGAAGGTGCCATCCCTCACTTGTACTCTATGTGAACAGACAAATCATTCCAAGAGAAGTGATGGATAAAACTGTGCACACGGAATTTGAAAAACTTATTTTCTTTATAGAATAAAGTGCTCAGCTCATCATAGCTTCCTTTTCTAATTTTCAAGCTAACAGACATACATAAAAATAAATTGTTTTCTGTAAACAGGTATCAATCTAAATATACTTAGTAGAGCAGTCTACAGAAGAAAATGTCCTACAGAAAACTGTTGCAGATTTATGAAAAATCTAAACTTAAAGAAATTACTATGTTTATTTGTATCAATGTATTTTAGCCACAGTAGAAAAGGATTAGAATTCAGAATCTCTGACAAGTTGGCTAATGACCACATCTTGGGAGAGACTTAACTTTTGTTGCAAAGTACCTAAATATTACCTGTTTCTCCTGGGAATCTGTTTGCCTTTCTCAATCATTTCTCCCTTTCACTATTGCCATTCTCTCAACCAGAGAAATAGAATATTCTACACTATGTATCAATTATTACTTTAATTTTCTTCATAGTTTTACCAACTATGTATCTGTAAAGAATATATTTTCTCTTTTTATAAACATTTTACAGAGTAATGTATTTTTCTGTATGTTTTTTAAAAAATTACTCAACATTAATCTTGTGATGGAGCCATGTATATTCATTATATTAATTAAGCAAAATATATTTACATGTTACAATCTTGATGGACATTTCAGTTGTTTTCTCTTCTGAAGAGTGTTCATGTGAACATTTTTATGTATATTGAGAAGTGTTTTTCTGTAGTTCATACAAAGTAGTATAATTGATGGGTCATATTGTGAATGTAAAATGGTTCCTCAAATGGTTGTACTAATTAATACTCCTGCAAGCAATGAAGAAGTTACTCATCTTGCTCTATATTACCACTGGGAATTCTATGGCCTTTAATTTTTTGCTTGTCTACTAGATTGGATAACATCTGATTAATGTATAGGATAAATACTTTTTTCATATAGCTATTGACTCTTTATTGCTCTTTTCAAAATTGGCTATTCAAGCATTTGCCCAATTTTTCAATGTTTTTGTCTTTTTCTCTTAAATTGCAGACTACAAGCACACAACTATGTATGCGTGTCTACATATATGTGTGAGTGTGCATGGGTACTCTAGTTGCCAATTTTATGTGTAATCTCAGTTTATCTTTCAATGACTTTATGCTGCCTTTTATAAACATATCTTAGCAATTTCAGTGAAAAATGTATCCTTTTTTCATAATTTATGTGTTTTCTGTCCCTTATTTAGGAAATTCACTCCTGTTCCATAATTATGAATTCAATTTCCTGTATTTTCTCTATTCTTTTATAGTTTTCCTTTCACATTCAAATATTAAAAACCTAGAATTTATGTTTAATAAAAGTGTAAGCATAACTATTAAATTTCTTTCACATTTTTATTGAAATACTAATTCTTTTTTTGTTGTTGTTCATGGTCTGCAGTACTGTCTCTTTTTTTCTATGGGTTTTTTTTGTTTGTTTTTTTATTTATTATTATTATACTTTAAGTTTTAGGGTACATGTGCACAATGTGCAGGTTAGTTACATATGTATACCTGTGCCATGCTGGTGTGCTGCACCCACTAACTCTTCATCTAGCATTAGGTATATCTCCCAATGCTATCCCTCCCCCCTACCCCCACCCCACAACAGTCCCCAGAGTGTGATGTTCCCCTTCCTGTGTCCATGTGTTCTCATTGTTCAATTCCCACCTATGACTGAGAATATGCGGCGTTTGTTTTTTTGTTCTTGCGGTAGTTTACTGAGAATGATGATTTCCAATTTCATCCATGTCCCTACAAAGGACATGAACTCATCATTTTTTATGGCTGCATAGTATTCCATGGTGTATATGTGCCACATTTTCTTAATCCAGTCTATCATCGTTGGACATTTGGGTTGGTTCAAAGTCTTTGCTATTGTGAATAATGCTGCAATAAACATATGTGTGCATGTGTCTTTATAGCAGCATGATTTATAGTCCTTTGGGTATATACCCAGTAATGGGATGGCTGGGTCAAATGGTATTTCTAGTTCTAGATCCCTGAGCAATCGCCACACTGACTTCCACAATGGTTGTACTAGTTTACAGTCCCACCAACAGTGTAAAAGTGTTCCTATGAAATACTAATTCTTATAGAAAAAAATTCACTTAATTAGTATTTTCCCCACCCACCCACATTTCATATCACAATTATGCGAAATAAGTTTCCATCTATTTATGAGTCTGTTTCTGGACTGTTCTTTTTGTTCCATTGACCTTTCTGTCTATATACAATATACTTGGTGTCTTAGATTGCTGCACATTTACTCTTGATTTGTGGTAGACAAGCCATAGCATCCATATGTTCTCCCTTTCTCATAACCTTTCATATTTTCAGGAGTATCTGGTTTCTCTTCATTTGGATGCGCTATTGATTGTTTTCTCCATGACAGATTATAGAATGGTTAATGTAATACTTCAAAAAGTTTTTCATTTGTGCCATACATTGAAACTAATATAATTAGTCAAGTGTACCTGGGTAAAAGAATGCAGTTGTGCCCATGTGAAGTGAGCAGCCTCTGTAGGAGTCAGATATATTCCTGTCTGCCTCAAGTACTATTCACTAATTTCAAAGCTAAATGATCAATATTTTCATCTGCTTGTAACCTGTTCATAGTGCAGCCATGCTAAATGGTATACCTGTTAATTTGGGCAGTAACAATTTTGAGACATGTATTATCTAGCATTTCTTGTGTGTTAGACTAAAGTATAATTCTAGTTTGGCTGGTAATGGATCTCTTCTCTAAATAGAATTCAATTTCTGTTATCTGTTTTTTAGATAGTCTTTTGGAGGCATGGATGTTGTATTTCCTATTAATTTTGCTTGGTTTCTAGTAGAGTGTTCTATACTAAACTGTTTAATTACAAATTTGTGAAAGTTTGTATTTTTAAACAACATGTTTTTCTAGATGCAGAAACAGTATCCCAAATCTGAAATAAGAGCTGAAAGCTTTCTTCCTGTTTCTTCCTTTCTTTTCTTTAGCACTATTTATATATTAGTTCTAAAGTTTTTTCAAGTGCTATGGGCACTAGATCATGGTTAAAAGGATTATATTTTGTAATACTGCTTGAAGTCTGTGGGATGCAACTTCTCTGTAAAGATTTTATTATTGCTAAAGGCAAGAAACACTTTATTTCCAACATCAAAAGTAAGTAAGATGTTGGTCATTTTAGCAGTCCAGGAATATATAATGGAATCAGGATTACCTCAAGAGATAGAAGTTAAGATTTGTAAACTATGAAGAGTTTAAAATTGTTGTTTTTTTTTTTGTAGACAGTGCATAACTTTCTCTAGTCTAACTTTTTAATCCCTTCAACTCCACAGCTGTGCATGGACTATTAGAAGTAAAAGTGAATAGTCCAGGATAAACAACAGCTGCACTCCTATATTCTTGGATACAGACCCAAGTTTTCATATAAGAGGGAATAAAATACAAGATTTGAGAAAACACTGGAGATGGTAAGAAGTATATTTTCTCATATATAGAAGGAACATATTTTTAAATGTAACATTTTATATTTAAAATTTTAAATGTAAAGTTTATATACCTTCTTGTTTTATTTTAAATTTAACTGTATTATACTTGCTATAATGAAGAGACATACAAAATTAGGCTCGAGAGTATGGGCTTGTTTTCTAAATTCTAGTTTTTTACCTGTGTTTAATTGGTTGGCAATATTTTTCAGCTTTTGAATCTACATATTTGCATGCAAGATGAGAAAATATTGACCTCATTATTATTATTTAAAATAATATTTTAAAACAATGGTTTATAATGTATGCTTATTATTATATCATTGCAAAATTTATAATATATTATACATGTATTTTTACAGTGCTATTTAAGAAAACTTAGGTTAATAATATATACTTAGAAATTAAATAATATTTTTCTTGATGAGCTGAAAGTTCTTTTCTATTGTTATTTCTGAGTGCTATATTTTATTACATACTATATCACTTGATATTCTTACATGGAATATCAACATAGTATAGTTAGAAATATAAAGGATATTATTGGTACCTGCTTATGGTTTTCAGCTTCAGTATGTAATTCAGCTTAAATATCTGGTGAAAATATATTTCATAATTGAAGGTGAAATAAAGACATTCTCAGAAAAAGGGAAAATGAGAGAATCTGTTACCCACAGATGTGTTTTACAAGAAATGCTAAAGGAAGTTCATCAGAATGAAGGAAAATTATACCAAAGGGAAACTGAAATCTTTAAGTTTGAAGAAAGAGCAACATTATATGATTAAGTATAAAAGCCTACTTTTCTCTGAAATACTTTAAAATATATATTAATATTGAAATCAAAGGTATAAGATTTGGTGGAGTTTTCAATGTAAGTAAATTTTAAACTTATGAAAAATATAAAATAAATGGGAAAACAAACCTAAAAAAAAAGAATGTTCTAAAGGACACACTTTTTCATTTTTCTAGTTATGCATCATCAAATTTTGTATACATATACTAATAGAATCATAATCTAAGGTGACATAAATTATTCTGTTCTTAAGGTGAGTGGTTTTATATTCACTCTATTTTTTTTCCAGAAGATTCCTTTTATATGTATACCTTGATAGTAGGGCATATTATTATTATAAATTATATTATGCTTATTATTATACATTACAGGCTTATTATTATACATTATATTATTATTATTTAAAATAATGGTTTATATGTATGCTTTTTTAAACCACACACTTTTAAACCCCTATTCTAAATAGAAATTACAATTAAATTTTATAGACTTTAAACCAATTTCTAATATATTCTCTAGAATCGTCTATTAGTGTGTTCTCATGCTGCTAATAAAGACATACCTGAGACTGGGTAATTTATAAATAAAAGAGGTTTAATTGACTCACAGATGTGCATGGCGAGGGAGGCCTCAGGAAACTTACAATCATGGTGCAAGAGGAGGCAAACATGTCCTCCTTCACATGGCAGCAGCAAGGAGAAGTGACAAGCAAAAGGGGAAAAGTCCCTTATAAAACCATCAGATCTTGTGAGAACTCACTATCACAAGAACATCAGCATGGGGGTTACTACCCCCATGTTTCAATTACCTCCCACCAAGTCCCTCTCATGACATGAGAGGATTATGGGATCTAAAATTCAAGGAGAGATTTGGGTGGGGACACAGCCAAGCAATATCATTCCACCCCAGCCCCTCCCAAATCTCATGTTCTCACATTTGAAAACACAATCATGCCTTCCCAACAATCCCCTAAAGTCTTATCTCATTCCAGCATTAATTCAAAAGTCCAAGTCCAAAGTATCATCTGAGACAAGACCCTCCTGCCTACGAGCCTGCAAAACCAAAAGCAACTTAGTTACTTCCCAGATATAATGGGGGTACAGGCATTGGGTAAATACATTTGTTGCAAATGGCCAAAACAAAGGGGCTACAGGCCATCTGCAAGTCCAACACTGAATAGAGCAGTCATTAACCCTTAAAGTTCCAAAATGTTCTTCCTTGACTCCATGTCTCACATCTAGGGCGTGCTGATGCAAGAGGTGGGCTCCTATGGCCTTGGGCAACTCCACCCCTGTGGTTACACAGACTACAGACCCGATTCCAGTTGCTTTATTGGGTTGTTGAGTGTCTGCAGATTTTCTGGGCACAGGGTGCATGCTGTCCGCGGATCTACCATTCTGTGAGTTGGAGGAAGATGGCCCTCTTCTTACAGCTCCACTAGTAAGTTCCCCAGTGGGGACTTTGTGTGGGTGCTCCAACACAACATTTCCCTTCTGAGCAGAGGTTCTCCAAAAGGGCACTACTGTCGCAGCAAACTTCTACCTGGACATCCAGACCTTTCCCTACATCCTCTGAAATCTATGTGGAGGTTCTCAAACCTCAATTCTTGACTTCTGGGCACCTAAAGGCCCAACATCATGTGAAAGCCATGAAGGCTTGGAGCTTACACTGTCTGAAGTAACTTCCTGAGCTGTATGTTGGCCCATTTTAGCCACTGCTGAAGAAGCTGAAGCAGCTGGAACACAGGGCACCATGTCCTAAGGCTGCACAGAACAGGGGCCCCTGGGTCCACCCACAAAACCATTTTTCTCTCCTACACCTCCAGGCTTGTGAAGGCAGGGGCTGCCATCATGGTCTCTGGCATGCCCTAGAGGTATTTCCCCACTGTCTTGGTAAATAACATTTATCTCCTCGTTATTTATGCAAATTTCTGCAGTGGACTTGAATTTCTTTTCTGAAAATGGGGTTTTCTTTTCTGTCACATCATCAGGCTGAAAATTTTATAAATTATTATGCTCTGCTTCCTCTTGACTGCTTAGCCATTTAGAAATTTCTTCTGCAATATGCCCTAAATCATCTCTCTCAAGTTCAAACTTCCACAGATCTCAAGGGCAGGGGCAAAATACCACCGTCTCTTTGCATAGCAAGAGTGACCTTTACTCCAGTTCCCAAAAAATTTCTCATCTCCATCTGAGACAACCTCAGCCTGGACTTTATTATCCACATCACTATCATTATCAGCATTTTGGTCAAAGCCATTCTACAGGTCGCTAGGAAGTTCCAAACTTTCCCACATTTTTCTATCTTCTTCTGACCCCTTCGAACTTTCCCAACCTCTGCCTGTGACCCAGTTGCAACATTGCTTCCACATTTTCAGGTATCTTTACTGCAGCAGTCCACTACCCAGTACCAATTTACTGTATTAGTCCTTTCTCATGCTGCTAATAGAGACGTATTGATAACTGGGTAATGTATTGAGGAGTGAGGTTTAATTGACTCAAGATCCACATGGCTGGAGAGGCCTTAGGAAACTTACAATCATGGCAGAAGGGAAAGCAAACATGTCCTTCTTCACACGGCAGCAGCAATGAAAAGTGCAGAGCAAAAAGGGGAAAGCCCCTTTTAAAACCATCAGATTTTGTGAGAACTCACTCACTGTCACAAGAGTAGCAGCATGGGGGTAACTGCCACCATGATTCAATTACCTCCCACCAGGTCCCTTCCAAGGCACATGGGGATTATGGGAACTACAGTTCAAGATGAGATTTGGGTGGGGACACAGACAAACCACATCAAATGGATACTTGCAGCAATTCACTAAATAAGCATGGTTCTTTCATGTTTCAATGGATGTTCGATGTTCACAGTATACATAAGCAGTCAGATACCAATGTGCACATGTAAGCCTTACAACTCTTTACCTATTTTTCTAGATTCCAGAGTTGCTACATAGTATTTCAATGTTCATTTTTCACAAAAAAGAAAAAATGATGTGAGAAAAACAGTTAAGACTAACGTGAGGAGATCTAGATAAGCTCAGATTTTGAACTCTTGTATCGAATACTCCTATTTTCTCAATGTTATCTAAGTAACAAAGAGGCAAAAAACACGGTAGCAAGTTGGTGTTAGAACCAAAAGCAAATTTAAGTCTCTTCAAATGCCACAAACTACAAAGAATTTAATGGAAAAGACAAGATGGGAGAGATTTCATAGTGAAGGCAACAGTGGCCTGTCTGGAGTGGCCACTGCCATGATGCCAGCAGCAGTGAGGAACACCTGGCCTCTCCTCACTCCCAGCACCTACTCTGATTTTGGAGCAAAGTTATGGACAAGCTTGGACACTGTCACAACCCAGTCAGGTGTGTGCATGCTCGGGGCAGCACTGTCATGCCAGCCCCCTGGCACCTCGTCCCCCTCCAGACTTTGGGTGCCAATAAGTATGGGAGAGGTGCCAAGGGAGCAGCTTAGCATGGGCTTGCAGGCATTCCTTGGCATGAACAGCCTGGGTGCTGTGGGCACTGTGGACAGAAGATTAATGATAGTGGGAGGCAGACAGGCTCCTGGGTGGAAAGGGGCGGGTCCCCGCTGAAACCCCACTTTTAGGCCAGGGACCCCTGAAGCCTAGGGACCAGAGTGAGAATTTATGGTACTTTTCCTGGGCCCACTCATGGCCACCCATGGACCAATCGACATGTACTTCCTCCCTTCTGAAGCCCATGAAAACCCCAGACGAGGGTAGACGACGGGACAACCTGCCTGGAGAGAGGAGCTGCCCGCTGCGATTCTCCACCGAGCTGTTCTGTCATGCAATAAGGCTCCTCTCCACTTGCTCACCCTCCACTTCTCAGTGTACTTCATTCTTCCTGGACACGGGACAAGAACTCATGACCCATTGAATCGTGAGGCTGAAAGAGCTGTAACAAAATCAAGGCTGAAATGCACCCCTTGCTCACCACCTTGTGGGTGAAGAGAAGAGAGGAGAGAAGAGTAGTGGCTCTTCAGGGAGCCGAGTCCTAAGAGCTCCCTGAGCCAGGGCTGTGACACCCTCTTTAGGGTTCCGCATTCCTGGCATTTCCAGGTTTCCAAGTGCCATCGTGTTCCCTGGTGCCAGCCATGGAAGCTGCCTGTGGTACACCTGGTCCAGCTGCAACCTCGCAGGGAACCAAAGCTTATGCTGGTGGCTGGAGCTGTTTGCACTGACAAGTGCAGCCTGCTAGGCTGAGGGGCAGAATGAGTCCAATGGGCCTGAGTAAAACTCAGGCAAAGGCACCACCCCAGCCACAGAGGTTTCCAGCTGGAAAAGCCACACCTCAAAGATTCTGTGACAATATCACTGGTTTAAATTTCCATTAATTCATTTCTCAAATCTTCCCTGAGTATCTACTTGTTTCAGGCAAGTTTTTAGACATTGGGCTTTAAGGAGTATCTTTCCTAAGGGGGGATACACAGTTGTATAAATAGGTAGGTAGATAAACTGGCAGATATTGAAAGAGGCTAGAAAAAAGTAGATGATTAAATAATGACAAGATAACTAATTTTAAAAGCGCATAAAGCAGAATTTTATTTTTCTAGAGATGAGGTCTCACTATGTTATTGCACAGGTCGAAGTGCAATGGCTATTCCCAGCTATCGCCTTAGTGTACTACAACCTCAAATTCTTGGACTCAAGCTCTCCTCCTGACAAGGCAGAATTTTTAAGAGCACACGAATTAGGCTGAAATATACTCTACTAAAATAACCAGGAAGTATACAATGTTAGACAGAAAAGCTTATATACTACATAATTTTATTTATATAAATTTGAAAAACAAAAAAAAATCTATTAAGATGGTAGTCTGAATAATGGTTATGTTTGTGGAGTAATGTCTGAGGGGGACATAAAGTAGTTTCAATGATATTAATAATTTAATATTCTGTAAATTATGGTTGCACAGATGTGCACTTTTATGAAAATTATTTGAGTAGTACTTAAGCCTTTTCTTATGTTTTTACACTCCTATATAACACTTTCACATCAAAAGATACTCTGATGTGAGAATTTGGGGAAAGAGTTGACTAGGTATGTAAATAGCTTGTGCAAAAGTCCTAAGAAAGAGACAAGATTTATGTCTTCTAGGAAAATAACAGAGGCCAGTGTGACTTAAGCATAGTGATCAGAGGGTGGAATATCTGGAGTTGTCTTCAGAGAAGAGGTGGGGGCCAGATAAGTGTAGAAACATAGGAGCAACAGTAGATAATTAAAATTTAATTTCAAATGTGAAAGGAAAACAATCAAGACTTCTGAACATCAGAGAAAAGAATAATTGAGCAATGAGAAGATATCTTGGTGTGGAGAAAGATAAGAACGTACATTATTAGTTTGGTATGGGATCATCAATTAAAAATGTTTAGGAGACATACAACATGGAAGCCTTGGATAAGCGGTAATCCTGACATAATTTCTAAAGAAAAGCAGTGGAGTTCCTTTTCTAGCCATTATGGATTCCTTGGTATTGGACTTTCTAAAACTAAAAACAACTAAAAAATTGAATTACACAAAGAAAAAATAAACTGTCAGGCATTAGACAATGTGCATCCCATGATGGCAATTCCTGACAGAATGGGATTAAATCAGTCGGTTATTACTATTGCTATGTATTTCTGCCTGGGATCGCTTTCCAGGAAAAAATAAATGTATACCATACTGGTCATAATAAGTCAAAGCGATAGGTCAGAATTAGGGAAGACTGAGATATTAGGAATTAGTGGGCAAAGTACTTTAAAAAGGATATCATACAGAGAAGGTAATCCAGAAATTTGCACAAGAATCTCCATAAATCTTTGGTTGAACTCTAACCCAAGCATAACTTGAATGAAACTCTGCAAGGCTAGGCAAAGAAGAATTAAAAGGGACCTGTGAACTAGGAGATATTTAAGTTCTGACCAACCAGAGTACAAAATCTCATGGAACAACCAATATTTCAATTGTGATCTTAGGATATCATATTTTGGTTGTGGGGCTAAGTAAATCATAAACAAAAGGCTACTCCAGACCTACCCTCACAAAGTTTAAAAGCAGGCCTCAAAAGAATTAAGCTGTTCTGCAAATACATGATAGCCTATGAAGAGAAAACAATAATAGTATTTAGATGAAGACAGAAAAATCCATCAGTAAACAACATAACATTTGTCCAATAATGCCAACTGGCCAGAAAATATGACCCAACACTAGTAGATAAATATATCCATAGAATCAGTTCCGGGAAACACAGAGGTGATTTAAAAAATTACAAAATACTTTCGAGCAATTGTAAATATGCTCAAATATTTACAGGAAAAACTGACCACAAGTAGCAGAAAAAAATGACAATACACAAAAGAACAGAAAGGGACTTCTGAAGCTTAAAAACATAATAATTATGGTGAAAATTAACTGGCTGTGCAAAACAACAAATTGAACATTGCAGAAGAAAAACCAGGAAACTTAAAAGAGTAGCTGTCTACACTGAAACTGAGAAGAAAAATAAAAGGCTGAAAAACTTGAACATAGCTAAAGAAAACAATGATACAATATCAAACAGTTGATATCTATGTAATTGTAGTCTTACAAAAGGTGGTTAGAAAGACATATGACATACATGAATACAAAGATAAAAACTGCTTATTTATCTTCATAAAAAGTTCAAGAAAATATGTTTGCTAGATTTTGATACTAGGGAGTATAATCTGAGTTGGATACAATATTTTAAGGTATATTTTCTGAAAAGATTGTGGTAAGGTTGTTTTTTCTTCCTAGAATATTAAATTAAATTCACTAGTGAAATCATCTTGTCCTGAAGTTTTCTTCCGAGGAAGATTTTGAGTAAATAATTCAAATGCCTGTTTTGGTTAATATAGCTTTGCCCTATATTTTAAGGTCAGGCAGTGTGATGACTCCAGCTTTGTTCTTTTTGCTCAATATGCTTTGATTATTCAGGGTCTTTTGTGGTTCCGTACAAATTTTATGATTCTTTTTTAAAATGTATTTTAAAGATGTAATTGGTATTTCAACAGAGATTGCATTAAATCTGTAGATTGCTATGGGTAGTATGTATGGTCATTTTAACAATATAAACTCTTCTGACTCAAGAACATGGGATGATTTTCCTTCTGTTTCTTTCCTCTTCAATTTCTTTCACCAGGTTTTTTTTTAGTTTTCTTAGTAGAGGTCTTTCATCACCTAGGTTAAATTTATTTCTAGTTTTCTTTTTAGTTTTTGAAAATGGGATTGCTTTCTTAATTTTTTTGACTAGTTTGTTATTAGTGTACAGAAATGGTACTGATTTCTGCATGTTTATTTTGCATAATATTGTATAAAAATAAGCACACAGATCATTAGAACAGAACAGAAAACACAGAAATAAATGCAAATTTTTACAACTAGTTTATTTTTGACACAGACACCAAGAACATACATTGTGGAAAGGATACCTTCTTCAATAAGTGGTGCTGGGAAAACCGTATATCCATATGCAGAAGAAAAAAACTAGACCCTAATCTCCTACCACATTCAAAAATCAACTCAAAATGGATTAAAGACTTAAACACAAGGCCCAAATCTACAAAAGTATTAGAAATAAAGCCTGGGAAAATGCTTTAGGACATTTGTCCAGGCAAATATTTTATGGCTTAAGACCTCAAAAGTAAAAGCAACGATAGCAAAGATAGACATGAAATTACGTCAAGCTAAAAAAGCTTTTGCAGAGCAAAGAAGACAAGAGTAAAGAGACATCCTGCAGAATGGGAGAAAATATTTACAAACCATTCATTTGACAAGGGGTTAATATCGAGAATATTTACAAGGAACTTAAACACATCCACATCAAAAATAACAAATAATCTCATTAAAAAGTGGACAAAGTATCTGAATAGACATTCTTAGAATAAGACATACAAAAGGAAAAAAAAGTTTATGAAAAAATGCTGAACATCACTAATCAAGGAAATGCAAATCAAAACCACAGCAAATAACAAATAACAAATGCTCATGGATTTGAAGTCATATTATTACTAAAATGTCTATACTACCATAGCAATCTACAGCTTCAATGTAATTCTTATCAAAATATCAATGACATTTTTCACAGAAATAGAAAGAAACCCTGAAATTTGTGTAAATTCTCAAAAGACCCCAAATGGCTAGAGCAAAATTGAGCAAAAGAACACATCTGAAGGCATTACACCATCTCATTTCAAATTACACTAAACATCTGTAGTAACTAAAACAGCATAGTACTGGCATAAAAACAGAACATAGACCAATAGAACAGAATAAAGAATCCAGAAACAAATTCACTAATTTATGGCATGATTACTACTGTCAAAGGTGCCAAGAATATAAATCGGGGAAAAGACACACTTCAATACATAGTGCCCAGGAAAACTGGATATTCACATGTAGAAGAATGGAACTAGTTCCTCATCTTTCATCATATAGAAAAATCAAGTCAAAATTCATTAAAGACTTAAATGTAGGACCTGAAACTGTGAAATGACTAAAAGAAAATATCAGGGAAACACTACAGGACATTGGTCTAGACAAAGCTTTTTCGGGTAAGACCACAAAAGTACAGGTAACAAAAGCAAAAATAGACAAATGGGATTACATCAAGATAAAAAGCTTTTGTACAGCAAAGGAATTAATCAACAATGGCACAGAAAACTTAATGAAAGGCAGAAAAATTTGCAGAGTATCCATCTGATGAGAGATTAATAATAAGGCTATGTAAGTAACTCAGTTCAGTAGGAAGAAAAGCAAATATTCCAATTTTAAAATGAGCAAAAGACTTGAATAGACATTTTCCAAAAGAAGACATACAAATGGCCAACAAGTATATATAAAAATACTCAATATCACTAATCATCAGGTAAAGGAAAATCAATAGAATGACTATTATCAAAAAGATAAAAAATAACAAATGCTGGTGAGGATGTGGAGAAAGAAACATTCCTACATTGTTGGTGGAAATGTAAAGTAGTAAAATCATTATAGAAAACAGCATGGTGTTCCCTACAAAAACTAAAAATAGAGCAATTGTATGATCTAGTAATCCCACTGCTGGGTATATATTCAAAGGAAAGGAAATCAATATATCAAAGAGACATCAGCACTCCCATGTTTATTGCAGCATTATTCACAATTGCCAAGATATGAATCAAACTAAGTGTCCATCAATAGATTAATTGGTAGAAAATGTGATATAGATACACAATAGAACATTACTCAAACATAAACTAGGAATGAAATCCTATCATTTGCAGCAACATGGGTGGAAATGGAGGCCATTACGTTAAGTCAAATATGCCAGGCACAGAAAAACAATTATTGCATAGTCTCACTCTTATATTCAAGCTAAAAATGTTGATTTCATAGAGATGGAGAGTAGAGATGTGGTTACTAGAGTCTGTGAAGGATAAGAGGAAGGAGAAATAAAGAGAAGATGGTTCAGGGATACAAAAATGCGTTTAGACAGGAAAAATCAGCTCTAATATTCAATAGTACAGTAGAGAAATTATAGTTAACAATAATTTATTATATACTTTAAAATAACTAAAAGGTTGGAATTGTAATGTTTCCAACACAAATAAAAGATAAATGTTTGGGATGATGGATAAACTAAACACCTTGATTTGATCATTGCACATTATCTGCATTTACTGAAATATCACACGTATACAATAAATATTTATAAATATTAAATATCAATAAATTTTATAAAATGAATTAAAATTTCTGAAAGGATATAGGAGTATTTAGTTTTTGTATTTCCTCTTGAGTCAGTTTTTGCAAGTTGTATTTATCAAGAAATTTTCAAATTTCTTCTGAGTTTTAATGTTTTCTTTACACAGTTATTCATAGTATTCTATTTACACATTTTTCTATCTGTAAAATCTCTGTTGATAACCATATTTTGATCCCATTTATGGTAATTTTTGAGCTTTGTTTTTTCTCTTGATTAATCTAGCAATTAATCCACTTTTTAAAAGTTGTTTTTAAAGAATCATCTTTTGGTGTTGCTAAATTTCTCTGTTTTCTATACGTATCTCTACCAACTCCTTCTTTCTACTTATTTTGGGATTGTTAATTATATTCTACATATATTTTTCGAGACAGGGTCTCATTCTTTCATCCAGGCTGAGGTGCAGTCATGGCTCACTGCAGCCTCAACTTTCCCAGGCTCAGATGATACTCCCACCCCACCCTCCCAAGTAAATGGGACTACAGGCACGCACCACCATGCTGAGCTAATTTTTGTATTTTTTGTAGAAATGGGGTTTCACCATGTTGCCCAGGCTGGTGTGGAATTCCTGGCTCAAGTGATCCTCCTGCCTCAGCCTCCCAAAGTGCTGGAATTACAGGTGTAAGCCACTGTGCCTGGCCATGTATTGTATATTTTAAGACTGAATGTAAGATCATCGTTTTTTGATATTTCTTCATTGCTATTTTAAGTTTTAAAGTATGTTATTAATTGCTTCGTTTCTCTTTTAGGCTTTATAGCTTGCTATGTTTCCAACTAAGCACTACTTTAACTGCATTGCACACATTTTCATATATTATCTTTTAATGATCATTCAGATCTAATTATATTTTAATTCCTCTTTTGATTTAACCTATGAGCTATTAATTATTTAAATGAGAATTAATATATGTATTTTTAGAGTTTCCAATATAGCTGAGTATAATTTATTTTTTGAATTTATGTCTGTGTTGTCAGGTAATACACATCAATGATTTTTATATTTTTAAAATGTATTTAGGAGTTCCAGTTTCTAAAACGTTTTATGTCTTTAAATGTATCATGTGCACTTGAAAAAAAATCTGCATTCCGTAGTTGTTGGATGGAGCATTCTGTTTGATATATGTCAATGAAATCAATAATTTTTATAATTTCATTTATATCTTTTATGACTTCCTAAATATTAGTATAATTGTTCCATCAATTGCTGAAAGATGCATAATTTATTGCTATCCTTCCATTCAAGTCTGTGAATTTTTGCCTTGTATATTTTAAGGCTCTACTATTAGCCTTATACACATTCATGAATGAATATTCTCTTTTGTCACTGTGTCCCCTTTATCTCTAGTAACACTCTTTGTCTTGCAGTCTATTTTATCTAATAATGACATAGCTTCTGTAGTATTCTTAGGCTGTTTTTGTTGATGGCACATATTTTGCATCCAGTTATTTTTAATTTATCTCTGTATTTGAACTAAAATATGCTGCTTGTATACAGTATGTATAGCATGGATGTGCTTTTTATGTACTCTGCCGATCTGTGCCTTTTAGTTAGTTGTGTAGAAAATGTAATTATTTATAATGTTAGATTTACATGTATTATTTTATATTTGTTTTTTATGCATCCATTTGATTTTTCTCTTCTGCTCACCCCGTCTCCTTTCCTGCTTATTTCAGGATTATTTAAGTATTTTTATTATTCAATTTAAAAATTATCTTTTTGGACATATCTCCTTTTGTTGCCTTTTTTGGTTGTTCAAAACATTACAACTACGTAATCTTTCATGATCTGCATATAGGCAATAAATTCTGCTTCACATGATGTAGAAATCTAGTTATATAACCCCTCCCTAAATTGACATGTGTCTTACTTGTCATGCAAATTAGATCTAGAGATGTTGGAAACTTCGCCAGACACTAATTTGTGGTTTAAATAATTAAACATTTTAAATTATTTATTTATTTATTTATTTTTGAGACAGAGTTTTGCTCTGTCGCCCAGGCTGGAGTGCAGTGGCACGATCTAGGCTCACTCTAACCTCTGCCTCCCAGGTTCAAGCGATTCTCCTGCCTCAGCCTCCCAAGTAGCTGAGACTACAGGTGCCTGCCACCATGCCCAGTTAATTCTTTGTATTTTTAGTAGAGACAGGGTTTCACCATGTTAGCCCGGATGGTCTCGATTTCCTGACCTTGTGATCTGCCTCCCTCGGCCTCCCAAAGTACTAGGATTACAGGCGTGAGCCACCATGCTGGACCCATTTTAAATAATTTAAATGAGAAAAGGAAGTATATTATATTTATACAGATAGTTACTATCATTATTGTTACTACTTCATTTCCTTTTGAGAGTATAATTCTCCATCTAACAGTTTGTCTCTGGCCTGGAGAATTTTCTTCATAGCACTTTTTGCAGTGTGTCTCATGATAAAAAATTCTCTTAGATTTCTTTAATCAGAGGATGTCTTAATTTGGCCTTTATTTCCCCATGTGAGTAAATTCTTCATATTTGATTACCCAGCATAGAGTACCCTAGTATTTATTAGTATTCACGTTCATGTTAGGTATTATTATTTTGTTCAGAGTTTTTAGTTGTAATCAGTGGAGGGGATGATCTGTATTGGGATTCTGCTATAGCAGAATCTGTTTCTAGTATATTTAAATCTCTGTATACCTGTTTAAAAAATGCTATAGGACACATTTAAAGCAGTGTGTAGCGGGAAATTTATAGCACTAAAGGCCCAAAAGAGAAAGCAGGAAAGATCTAAAATCGACACCCTAACATCGAAATTAAAAGAAACTAAGGAAACAACAGCAAACAAATTCAAAAACTAGCAGAAGGCAAGAAATAACTAAGATCAGAGCAGAACTGAAGGAGTAAGAGACATGAAAAACCCTTCAAAAATTAATTAATTCAGGAGCTGGTGTTTTGAAAAGATGAACAGAATAGATAGACCACTAGCCAGACTAATAAAGAAGAAAAGAGAGAAGAATCAAATAGACACAATAAAAAATGGTATAGGGGATATCACCATGATTCCAGAGAAATACAAACAACCATCAGAGAATACTATAAACACCTCTATGCAAATAAACTAGAAAATCTAGAAGAAATGGATAAATTCCTGGACACATACACCCTCCCAAGTCTAAACCAGGAAGAAGTTGAATCCCTGAATAGACCAATAACAAGTTCTGAAATTGAGGCAACAATCCATAGCATACCAACCTAAAAAAGTCCAGGACCAGACAGATTCATAGCCGAATTCTACCAGAGGTACAAAGAGGAGCTGGTACCATTCCTTCTGAAACTATTCCAATCAACAGAAAAAGAGGGAACACTCCCTAACGCATTTTATGAGGCCAGCATCATCCTGATACCAAACATGGTAGAGACACAACAAAAAAAGAAAATTTCAGCTCAATATCCCTGATGAACATTGATGCAAAAATCCTCAATAACATACTGGCAAACTGAAACCAGCCGCACATCAAAAAGCTTATCCACCACAATCAAGTTGGCTTCATCCCTGGGATGCAAGGCTGGTTCAACAAACACAGATGAATAAACGCAATCCATCACATAAACAGAACAAATGACAAAAACCACATAATTATCTCAATAGGTGCAGAAAAGGCCTTCAGTAAAATTCAACACCCCTTCACGCTAAAAACTCTCAATAAACTAAGCATTAATCGAATGTATCTCAAAATAATAAGAGCTATTTATGACAAACAGACAAACACACAGCCAATATCATACTGAACGGGCAAAAACTGGAAGTATTCCCTTTGAAAACCGGCATAAGACAAGGATGCCTTCTCTCACCACTCCTATTCAACATAGTATCGGAAGTTCTGGCCAGGGCAGTCAGGCAAGAGAAAGAAATAAAGGGTATTCAAATAGGAAGAGAGGAAGTCAAATTGTCTCGGTTTGCAGATGACATGATTGTATATTTAGAAAACCCCATCATCTTAGCCTCAAATCTCTTTAAGTTGATAAGCAACTTCAACGTAGTCTCAGGATACAAAATCAATGTACAAAATATCACAAGCATTCCTGTACACCAATAACAGACAGAGAGCCAAATCATGAGTGAACTCCCATTCACAATGGCTACAAAGAGAATAAAATATCTGGGAATACAGCTTACAAGGGATGTCAAGGACATCTTCAAGGAGAACTGCAAACCACTGCTCAAGGAAATAAGAGAGGACACAACAAATGGAAAAACACTCCATGCTCATGGATATGAAGAATCAATATTGTGAAAATGGCCATACTGCCCAAAATAATTTATAGATTTAATGCCATCGCCATCAAGTTAGTTACCATTGACTTTCTTCACAGAATTGGAAAAAACTACTTTAAAATTCATATGGAACCAAAAAAAAAGCCTGTGTAGACAAGACAATCCTAATCAAAAAGAACAAAGCTGGAGGCATCGTGCTATGTGACTTCAAACTATACTACGAGGCTACAGTAACCAAAACAGCATGGTACTGGTACCAAAACAGATATATAGACCAATGGAACAGACCAGAGGCCTCAGAAATAATACCACACATCTACAACCATCTGATCTTTGACAAACCTGACACAAACAAGCAATGGGGAAAGGATTCCCTATTTAATAGTGTTGGGAAAACTGGCTACCCATATGCAGGAAACTGAAACTGGACCTTTTCCTTACACCTAATACAAAAATTAGCTCAAGATGGATTAAAGACTTAAACGTAAGACCTAAAACCATAATAATCCTAGAGGAAAACCTAGGCAATACCATTCAGGACATAGGCATGGGCAAAGACTTCATGTCTGAAACACCAAAAGCAATGGCAACAAAAGCCAAAATTGACAATGGGATCTAATTAAACTAAAGAGCTTCTGTACAGCAAAAGAACCTATCATCAGAGTGAACAGGGAACCTGCATAATGGGAGAAAATTTTTGCAATATATCCATCTGACAAAGAGCTAATATCCATAATCTACAAAGAACTTAAACAAATTTCCGAAAAAAAAAATCAACAAGTGGGCAAAGGATATGAACAGAAACTTCTCAAAAGAAATCATTTATGCATCCAACAAACATGAAAAAATGCTCATTGCCACTGGTCATTAGAGAAATGCAAATCAAAACCACAATGAGATACCATCTTACACCAGTTAGTATGGCGATCATTAAAAAGTCAGTAAGCAACAGATGCTGGAGAGGATGTGGAGAAATAGGAACGCTTTTACACTGTTGGTGGGAGTGTAAATTAGTTCAACCACTGTAGAAGAGAATGTGGCGATTCCTCAAGGATCTAGAACCAGAAATACCATTTGACCCAGCAATCCCAGTATTGGGTATATACCCAAATGATTATAAATCATTCTGCTATAAAGACACATGCAAAATTATGTTTTTTGTGGCACTATTAACAATAGCAAAGACTTGGAACCAACCGAAATGTCCATCAATAATAAACTGCATAAAGAAAATGTGGCACATATACACCATGGAATTCTATGCATATATATACCATGGAATTCTATGCAGCCATAAAAAAGGATGAGTTCATTCCTTTGCAGGGACATGGATGAAGCTGGAAACCGTCATTCTCAGCGAACTAACACAAGAACAGAAACGAAACACCGCACATTCTCACTCATAAGTGGGAGTTGAACAATGAAAACACATGGACACAGGGAGAGGAACATCACACACTGGGGCCTGTCAGTGGGTGGGGGGATAGGGGAGGGATAGCATTAGGAGAAATACTTAATGTAGGTGACCGGTTGATGAGTGCAGCAACCCACCATGGCATGTGTATACCTATGAAACAAAACTACATGTTCTGCACATGTACCCCAGAACTTAAAGTAAAATAAAAAATAAAAATAAAAAATCCCTAGACCTACAACCTAGATCAGCCACCACCCAGTACCAAATCATTTGATGCCTATAACTTATAAACAATGTACATGACCACTTCTCTTCCCCAAATAAATAACCACTTTAAAATAATATATTTTATTCATGATCGATATAACCAGACATTTTGATTAGCTTTGCAAGTATGTTTTATAATCTTCATATGTTCTTTTTTAAAAAGTAAGATATAGTATACTCATTCTTAGTTATGTAAAATCTGAGGCTGATAAGATAAATCTTTACTAATAACATATACATTTATAATCTTCCAAATTATACATATATTCATTATATATTATAATTTAAATATGTTGAAAAATTGTTTCTTAACATAATACAATGATTCAAGGCACATAGTCAAAAGTGTTTATTTTAACGTTAATTAAATTAAACTACATTAATTTTAGAAATTATCAGATTATTATCCATTGCTGTATAAAATTGTATGTAAGAAAACTTTTCATAATATTAAATATTCTGATTTATATATTAAAGGAGGTTTTTGGATATGATAAATCTTCATATTTTTAAATAAAATAAGTCTATCAGCTTATATAAAATTGTAGGTAGATATAAAAATATATTTATTATATACATATTGGAAAAATGTTTTATACTATAATTTGAATTACAAAGTATATATTTCTTTTTAAAATAAGTTTATTATTAAGCATATATATGAATATAAATGAAAGACCCAAATAAAACTGCCTGGAAAGTGACTACAATTAGAAATGAAGAGGAAGGGATAAAACCTGAGGAATTTAACTGAGCAATGGAGAATTCAGTGAAAATACAAGAAATAGAAAAGGAGGCTGAGGAATAAGTGACAACGTTGAGAAAAGCAGAGGGGTTGGTGTTCTTAACAGCTATTAAATAAATCATGTCTGACAGGAGGGTGGTCATTACCTTTGACAAACATGGGGCCAGTAGGGTAAAGATTAATACTGTCTATAGAATTTTAGGATCAAAGAAGACATGAGACTTTTACAAGAGCTGTGTTTGATAACATGCTTCAGGCAAAAGCCTGATGGGACTGTGTCTGAGAGAACAGGAGAATGGGAAAGAATCCACATATATATTTGTCAGACAGATATTTAGGTTTTAAGATCAGCAAATCTCTCAACCTGTGTTCTTAGGACAATTCTGTGCCTAGAAATACATTCCTAGGTATTCACAAACTTCAATGTGAGTTGATAAGTTTATTGTGTCCATAAATTCCCCTATGAGTTTATGCATATATTTTCATTACAAAATAATATAAAATTATATAAGCATATGTTCTATCATCTGAATGAGCAACTTATAATTTCGTACTGCTCTGCAATTACAAGACTCAACTTGCATTTCCGTTTACAATCACTTTAACAGGAAGTTATTCATCTTTAAATAGTAATTTAATGTGAACAAAAGCAAGGGGCACTTAGAAGTAAAATGAGACATTCTAGAACAATTGATGATCACATGAGGTAATGTACTGTGCTGGATTAACGTAGGTTTTAAAGTAGTCTGATTAGACAAGTAAAAATGGAAAATATGCATTCAAAACTGAAGTACATGTAGACTATATTAGTCAGAGCTACAAACATTAGGGGTTATCTGTTTATCTTATGTGCTCTTTACAACCGAGACTTATACTGTGTCAAGATACAGAAAGTAATACAAAGGAAAGAAAATGAATTATGTCAACACTAAGCAAAATAAAACTGACAGCTATATTAATATCAGAGAAAATTGGCATTTGACAAAGAGCTTTAATAAAGAGAGAAATTTTGTAATAAGAGTTTCAATTTACCAGGAAGAAATTACAATTCTAAATTTATATAAATTTAAAACAAATTTAAATAAAGAAACAAAAACTGTCAAAATTAAAAAGAGGATGAATCAAAATTACATTCGGAATGAGCAATAACACACACCTCTCAGTAATTGAGAACTGCCAGAAAGTAATTACTAAGTAAATATAGATTTGAAAAATAAAATCAGCAAACATGTATATTAAAATAATGGACATACATAACTAGCCTGCAATAAATATATTTTTAAGTACATATCATACGCTTATAAAAATTTACCATAATTGGCAAATATGGATCAATTACAGGTGGATGAACTCACACTTTTGTCAGAGATCTTTCCTTAAAATTATATATTGTTTTAAAGCAGGGAAATTAGTGATCCTAAGTGATCCTCTCACACACACTCTCATGCACACAAATCTGAAGTAATGGTTATCTTTAAGGATAGAGAGACAGTGATTGCAGGGAAATTCTAGGAAATGTCAACAAGGTCCTATTTTTTAACCTTTGTTATTGTTACATGAGCATTTTATTTGTGATAAATTATTGAGCAGTGCATTTTAATTTCATAAAATTAATGTGATTTGCTATAATTCAAAATAAAATATTATGCAAATCAAACAATAATGGGAGAATGTTCAAAATTTTTAAATTTTCCTATTTTTAAGGTTTAAATTATGAACAGTTTTCATAATGCTTCCTATAGTGCCATAGGAAAGCACTCTCTAGAAAATGAGTGCCTCTTTAGTTGTGATAACTTCTAGGCTTCAGATAGTGTAGTCTGCATTATCTTAAGCTTAGTCACTGCATCATTTACTATAAGCTTGTTTCTTCCTCCAACTCCTTAATATGCTGCTAACATCAGTTTCAACAATGACCTCCCAGATGTTCATTACAATAAACAATTTCTAATGTTCTTACTAAACTCATTCTATTCTATTCTAGACATTATTGTTATTATTATTATTATTATTCTATGAGACATGATCTCGCTATGCTGCCCAGTGTAGTGGAGTGTAGTGGCACGATCATAACTCACTGCAACCTGGAACTCCTGGGCTCAAACCATCCTCCTGCCTCAGCCTTCTGAGTAGCTGGGACCACAGTTATGCACAACTACACTAGGATAATTTTTTATTTTTCTTATTTTAGTAGAGACAGTGTTTTGCTCTGTTGCCTAGGGTAGTGTCAAACTCCTGGTCTCAAGCAATCTACCCTTCTTGGTCTCCCAAAATGTTGGTATTACGGGCGTGAGCCATCACACCTGGCATCATCTACACTCTTTCTAGAATTTGAAACTGTTCAAACTCCTTGCTTTTTGCTGGTTGTTAAGATACTATTTTTTTTCCTCCTTTTCTCTCTCTATTTGCATTACTATGACCACCTAAAAAGATTGATCTTCTCCTGCTCCTATTTACACTACCATTTAGAGTTTCAGCCTAATCTTTTCTCCTCAGAGTCCACACTCTGCCTCGTCAGGAATAGACAAAAATTAAGCAAGCCCTCTAAGCAAGGTGCTACTCATGAAGTCCGAGTATGTGCCCGAATGCCTTCAAGACATCTCCAGATGGCTTTCCCGTAACAGCAGTATGTCCACATGTAAATACCTGTCTGTCTTCCAAGTCAAGTCCCCAAGATAGAAGACTAGGTAACTTCCCCTTCTCTTCTTAGATTATTGCTCACCCCTCTATCAATTTTATCCTTGAGCTATCACACCTCATACTTACTACTTCTTAGATGTGTATATTAGGGAAGTTATAGTTTTCATTTATTTGTGTGATTACTAAAAGAGAGTAGTGAATGATATATTGTTTATTTATGCAGTATTCCTTCCAGTCCTTCTACTAGCAAAGCTCCACTTTTTTATATTCCAACCATGAAGTTTGAACTATTACTATATGCTTTACACCCTTCACTCTCAGATTACAGATGATTAGCTCAGCATTTAAACAAGCTGGGCAAATACAATAACTTCCCTGAAATTTTAAAGAAGATTTTATTTAATTATTGTAATAACACTTAACATGATATCTACCCCTAATGCACTTTAAGTGTACCATACAGTGTTTTAAGTATAAGCACAATATTGTTTAGCAAATCTATTAAATCTCTCTTTAGCCGAACAGCCACAGAAGATAAAATAAGCTTCCTGAGCAGTCTTCTTCCCCAAGGAGGAATATCACACATTTTTCTTTAAGATTAAGAATATGCAAGAAGAAGCCAAGAAGAGGAGAGGAGTGCTAGGTAGATATGTAGATAAATAGATCCCTTATTTATGTAAACCAAATGTTTCCTGTAACTGAGCTGTATGCCTGATTGTTCCTCATTCGATCAAAACATTCTGTGATTGAACATTATACTTTTATTAAGTTTCCTTGTTATTTTCTAATATATGTTGAATCTGGCTTCTCTGTTTTGCACCCAAAGTATTACTGACTGATCCAACTTCCTATTGTGTTTCCAATCTGCCTTTTTCTAGCATAGCTACTTTGTTAACAAAAAAGTTTGCTTTAAAAATACAAATCTGATGGTGGAATTTTCCTAAGCAAAATATTGCAGTAGCTTGTTGATACTTTTATGCTATAATTAAAAATATAACTATGACATAAAATGATATGAATTCGGGTTCCTGCTTGTTGCAGTCAAATTTGTTTTTGTTTATTCCCTGTGCAACAAATACTTAATATGAAATTTATAGTATAGCAGGCACTGTCCTAGTGCAGGGGAGTCCCATGTTTTTATGAAGTTTTGCTCTAGTGGAATGTCCCATTTGTGTGTATTTGGCATATGTGTATGTGCATGTGTTATATGTTTATGTATACACATGCAGGCCTGTATACGCACATATATATGTGTATACATGTTTGTATGCATACATGAACTATATATGGATTGTGTGCATAAATACATGCATGCATACTTCTATGTATACATGTACATGTATGAGTGTATGCATACTTGTGTACATATATGTGTGAGTAATATAGATGACAGTGTTTCTTTCACTTGTCCACGTCTTATTCTTTGTCTTTTTTTTTTTTTTTTGAGACAGAGTCTCACTCTGCTGTCCAGGCTGGAGTGCAGTGGCGTGATCACAGCTCACTGCAACATTTGCCTTCTGGGCTAGGGTGATCCTCCCACCTCAGCCTCTTGAGTAGCTGGGACCACAGACGTTCATCACCATGCTGGGCTAATTTTTGTATTTTTTTGTAGAGACAGGATTTCACTGTGTTCCCAGGCTGGTCTCGAACTGTCATAAGCTCAAGAAATCTGCCTGCCTCTGCCTCCCAAAGTGCTAGAACTGCATGCGTGAGCCACAGCAAAGCGCCCTAAACTTTATCTTTATTCACACTCTTCTATCTCCCAGAATGTATTTTGCTCTTTTGAACTACATAGTAAAACTTGTCACTTCTTCCCAATAAAAAATTTGAATATTTGTAGCTATAGAAGAACTAGTCTACCAATTCTTCAGAGCTCCCGTGCATATATGTTTGCTCTGACCATATTGTCTAACATACAGTAATTGCATATATATTGTGTAGTGATTTTTAGTTTACTTCATACATCTTTGATTTTATATTGAGAGCTTGAAAGCGAGTAATGTAGCATTGTGCTCCTGGTATATTTTCCAATGTGGAGGATAGGAAAATTTACGAATATGCCAAATATGTTTGAAAACATATAGAAGATAGGAAATTAGCTATAGAAAAGTATTATGTGTAATCTATTGATGATAAGATATTATAGAACATTCAATGCCTAATGATTGAAGAGGGGAGAAAAAAATGAGAATATGTTGGAGCATATTTGATATTCATCTATATCCTGAATAAAGAGTCCACTTTGGCAAAAACATTAATATGAGTTTTCTAGGTTTCAATGCAAGTGGAGCTGCCCATCAATAAGTGAAACGTGCGTATTGATAACATGGGCATTGTTAGTTTATACAGGTGATATATATTTCAAATATATATATAACTCATTTTATATATATATAAATATATATAACTCAGATTTCTGGATTAGAGCCAACTGCTTAATTAGACCAATAATTTACCTACAAAATACCTTAGTGGTGATTCCTCATGCCCTATTTTTCATTTAGGAGAAAGTGACAAGGCGGACATTATTTTCCTTTACAGGGAGCCTGTAGTAAGTATGAGAAACCCCAAAATTATTAATTTCTGATCTGATACAGACAAGTTTACATGGCTGCTGTTCCTCCTCACTGGAGGAGAGGGAGAATTCTTACCTTTCTTAAGTAAACAAGTTCTCTATGGGAAAACGGAGATTGTTTTCCAGGATGGCAGAAAAATGCTCCATGAGTGATAAACCTGGATATCTCCCTGGAAATCTCAATCTTTAACTTCCAGGACTTGTTTGTCATGTGCTTATTCTTTCACTCATGTTGCCTATGTATTTTACTCAAAAAGATCTGATCAGGCAGAAACAAACATTTTCACATAGAATGGTTTTACAGCATACAAAATACCCATAATATTTTTAAAGTATTCATAAAATTAAATGTTGTTGTGTACCTTCATTTACAGTTGACATTTCAAGAGTTCTTTCAAGTACATATAACATTTTTCAGAGTCACAAAGACACATGACACTTTTCTTCACTGTCATGAATGTTTTATGAAATTTATAAAATTCAGATAAAAATCTACATGGGAATTATACAATTATACATCAAGAGAAATCCCAATCTCATAGATTAAAAAATCAGAAGTCCTAGTTATCAAGAAAAACAAGGAAGTTATTTTGGAATTAATATCATTCAATACTCAGAAACACATAGAAAATGAAAGGCAAATTTTAGAAAATTAAGAATATAGAATAAAATAGCTAAAGGGTAAATAAGTGTATATGGCTATTGTATATTTATTTCACACAAGGATTAATTTACTAAACACTTTTTGTGTCTTGCATAACAATCTCTCTCAATACTGGGAATCCAGTGATCTATAAAATACCTTGTCACAGTAGGATGCACATTTAGAAAAGAAAAATGTTAATCATGTGTTGCAATTTTCCGTGCTACTTACATATAGGACTTTCATTTGTTTTTGTTTGTTTGTTTAGTAATAAGTTTCTCCTTATTACTCCAGGAGAAAACATTAAAAATTGTTGAATATTTTGAAGACATTATTTCTTTTGTTTTATCCAAGTGAGAATTTGTGAGCTTACTTTCTTCAGTGAAATGGTGTTTCTCTGTTTTATTATTTCTAAAGATGATTTGTATTAACATTTATCCTATTTGAATTAATGATATTTTGTGCATAGAAAGAGAGTAGCCAACATTTCTGTGATGACCTCACCTTTTTGTTTGGTAGGTAATTTTGATATTCTTTTTCACAAATATAATCTACAATTGTTTATCCTCTTAATCTGAAAGATAAATAAAGAAACATATCTTTTGATGTCAGGCTAAGATGTTTCATCATTACATTTCTGAATAAGTTGTAGACTATTCTGTATGAAGTAAAACTAAGGGGTAGTATGAAAAAAACTAGTATAGATATTACCAAATATGCTTTCAAAAATAATTTTTAGCTTTTTTTAGATCTTTATTTATTGTATTTTCTGAGCACAGTCCTGTTTCTAATGTACTCCTTGGCATGACAATTCTGTAATATTAGTACCAAAACTTTCAAAAGCTATTCCACAGAGAGGTAGTAGCATAATGACCATAGAAACTAAAAGTGTACCCTAAGGAACAAATTCCATACATTCGAATTTCAGCTCCACTACTTCCCGGCTTTGTAACTTTGACAAATTATAGAATATATTACTTTGAAGTCTCAATTCTCTCCCCCATCCTCTCCTATATAAAATGACAATTGTAAAAGTATTTAGAGCAGAGTTATTATATAGATTTATTAAGGATTAAGAGATTAAGGGAGTTAATACATGTAAACTGTCTAAAAAGCTCTAAATAAATGTTGTTTCTTATTGCATTCTCTTATGCCATCCTAAGCCCTAGTGTTATTCTTTTCATTAGGCTGGCAGGAGAAAAGATAAGGAAGGCTATGTGTCCAGTTAGCTGTCTTGGAAGTTTTAGTTTCTAATCCTCACCTTCTATTGATTAATATATCTGTTTCTTATTTATAAAGTGTGATACTTCATCTTTTGGCACTTGATTTTTAAACTTCCTGTTTCTATATATCTACAGAACACTCTGTAATGGTCAGTTTTATGTGTCAATTTGGCTAGTTCTAGTTTCTAGTTGTTTAGTCAAACATCAATTTAGGTGTGACAATGAAGGTATTTCATAGAGCTGACTGAAGTGTGTAATTAGATGACTTCAAGTTACTTGAAGTCTAGAATATCTCCTCGATATTCTAGGCAGGACTGACTCAATCGGTTGAAAAGCCTGAAGACATCACTGAGGTTTCCATAAGAATAAGGAACTTATGCTTGTGCATAGCTGCTTTAGCTTGTATCTGACAGTTCCTGCGTGCCTTTCTGATGAGGTACTTGCTGGATTTCAGACTTGCTTTACCAGCCTATACAATAGCATAAGCCAATACCTTGCAATGCATCTTTGAATCTTTATTCTACTAGTTCTATTTCTCTGGTTGAATCCTGACTGATACACAATAATAAATTGACTTGCTATACTACTGGACTCTGAGCAGTTCATGTACTTCAACAGTCAATTTCCTAAAGCTCAATGTAATAGTTTTCTGGAATTGCAGTTATACTTGAAATATTCTTTTTAGAAACTGACTTTGAACTTATAATCAACACTTTCTTTCTAAGACAAAAAACAAAACAAAACAAAACAAAAAACTGATGAACATATAAAATCTGCTTTATCAGTCTTACATGCCTGAAATAATTAACTGATGTGTCTGGTATATTTTACAAATGCTCTCATTTATTTCTCTTTCTTTTTCTTTCTTTTTTTCTTTATAGCTGCAGCTTTCAAAAGATAGGCTTTATAATGAAGAGAAAAATGAACTTACTAACAGCCAGTGCATTTAATCTCACTTGATTTGTAAAAATAAGGCCGAAGACCTGTGATATTTTACTCCTTATCCTTTTAGAGAGAGAGTCTATATTCATTACATTGATGGGGATAATCAAGTTTATTATGTTTATTTTCACACTACTTTCTTAATAACTATAAGAAGTAAATTTATTAAGAACTTAGTATTTACTAGGCAACGGGCTTAGCATTATATGTAGGTTTTCTCTTAGAAATAATCTTTTCAATTATTGTTTTTTGACAACTATGAACGTCAAAATCTTGGATGAATTTCTATTCTTACTAATTGGACATTTATATAATATGAGCACAGTACGCTTAACAACATACACATAAAATGCAAACTTTATTTTAAGGTGTGGGGTGCAGGGAAGGAAGAAAGAAGAAATGAGGTGAGCAGAGGGAAGGAGAAAAAGAAATATTCTCTTTCCTTTATAAATTACCCAATCTCAGGGAAATTTTTTTTTTTTTTTTTTTTTTTTTTTTTTTTTTTTTTTTTTTTTTTGAGACAGAGTCTCACTCTGTCGCCGAGGCTGGAATGCAGTGGTGCAATCTCGGCTCGCTGCAACCTCCACCTCCCGGGTTCAAGCAATTCTCCTGCCTCAGTCCCTCAAGTAGCTGGGACTACAGGTGTGTGCCACCACGCCCAGCTAATTTTTGTATTTTTACTAGAGACAGGTTTTCACCACGTTGGCCAGGATGGTCTCAATCTCTTGACCTTGTGATCCACCCGCGTCGGCCTCCCAAAATGCTGGGATTACAGGCTTGAGCAGGGGAAATTCTTTATAGAGTGTGAAAAATACATGTATTTTTACGTGTATTTAAATAAATGTAATAAAGACTAATATATGTATATACACATGTGTATATATATGTAAATGCATATATATGTACTGTACATGTGTATACATATACTTACTTTCTGTCTGTATTCAATGGGAGGAACTATGAGAAAAAAAAATTCTCTTATCAATTAGCATATCCAGCAACCAGATCTTGCTTTCTACATACTACTTTCTACTAAAAGCAACCCTGAAATTAAATAGAGAAATGCCTGATTCCAGGGCTGGGGCAGGGAAATAATCATTAAACATTTGTTGAAACATATGCTGTTAGACTCTCCAAGAGCAATACAAGAAGCTGTAGCCAAACTGCCTTCACGTATGGGACATAAAATCTATGATGATGAAGAAAGATTTATGCTATTTGAATAAAGAGGAAGTGTAAAAAATAGAATAATGGAAAGGAAATTGGAATAAGAAGGAGCTAAATCAACTGGAAATAGTCAAGTTATTCATAAAGAAGGGGACAAAACCAAAGGATATTCAGGAGTTTACTACTGGAGACTTTTTCACACATTAACACTGTCTGTGAGGAAGGCAATTACACCAGTTCAAGCAATCACCCTTGACTAAAAGGCTCCATTATACCATCTTTATTTATTCCAGATTGAATAAATTGAAATAAAATTTTGCTGAAAGAGACTAAGAAATTAAAATATTAGCTCAGATGCTAAATTCAGCATCTCTGTTTAGTTAATGGAAGAAAAACATGATTAATTGGAGAGCTGGGGATTTTTTCGTCTGAACTGCAGTAAAGAATATAGAAAAGAAGATACAGTTGAAGTCAAAACGTTGGGATTGGGTGAACAAAGGTTTTGGAATTATTGAATCCTACTATCCAATATGCTCTAATACATGCCGAATAATGGAAGAGCAATTGCAAACGACCAAAAGTTGAAGCTGGAAGATACACTGATTATATGGTTTAAGGCACTATGTTTATAATAAAATTATAGGTTAAAAGATGTGAAAGTAAAATAAATTTTGGGGCCCCCAAATCACTAAGCTAAAGGGAAAAAGTCAAGCTGGGAAGTGTTTAGGGCCAACCTGCCTCCCATTCTATTAGACTTCAAGCCCTCTGCTCACTGAGATAAATGCATATCTGATTGACTCCTTTGGAGAGGCAAATCAGAAACTCAAAAGAATGCAACCATTTGTCTCTTACCTACCTGTGACCTGGAAGCCCCCTCCCTGCTTTGAGCTTCCCACCTTTGCTTTGAGTTGTCCCCTTTTTTCTGGATCGAACCAGTGTTCATCTTACCTATGTTGATTGATGTCTCATGTCTCCCTAAAACGTATACCACCAAATTGTGCTTTGACCACCTTGGGCACATATCGTCAGGACCTCCTGAGGCCGTTTCATGAGCACGCATCCTCAACTTGGCAAAATGAAATTTCTAAATTAACTGAGAACTGTCTCCAATTTTCAGAGTTCACAAAGATAGCAAAGTAAAATATAAGCAACCCAGCTATAACTTGTGGTAGCATCACCTATGCCTGACTGCTTAATTTAAATAAATATGATGTGTGAGGAAGATTTAATATTATTATATTTGTGTGTTAAAACAAAGTTACAAATCCCTCACCCAGCTTTACTTTTCAGGCTACATTAAGAAAATGCTCATTTCTAACAGACATAAAGCATTATTAAATCTTGGGAGGAGAATAAGATGACTATTTGTATTTACTTTATGAAAGTGTCACTCTTTCCTAAATATCTCGTCTTTATTTTACTTTCACAGAGAATCTGAAAATTGAAATAACAAAAAACTCATGGTAAAATACTTTACATACAAATTCAGATATATCTGTACAGTTCAAATATTAGCTGAAGAAAACTATTATTTAGCCTCACATTTAAATATTGTCCTTGTATGTTTTTAATAATTTGTTTTATTGACTATATTTAAGTAATATATTCAAGTGAGATCAAAGTGTATCACATTTCCCTAGTTCTGCATAGGCACTCTGAGAGAGATTTTGCTTCTATTTCATTTTAGAAAGATGTGGAGATAGGTAAATCATTTACCAGTTTTTGGAATTTTGATAATTTCTCTACAGTGAAGGAATTGTTTCTCCCAGTCTTTATTTTCCTTCTTCTTATATAGTCAAATCAAAGTTACTCTGAATTAACCTGTAGAATTTAACATATTTCAATGTGTAGAGCTCCACAAGACCACCTTTACTTTCCATGAATACAGATTGAGAGGTAAGTGCCTGAATCCAACACATTAGCAAAATGTAGGATTGGATAGATTAAATAAAGCATATGAGCTCCATGAGGCATGGTGATATTTTTACCATTTTTTAGCTTACTGTGTAACTAAATAACGTAAAATATTTTGATATCACTTCACTATTAAGTGTTCCAAGATAGCAAGCCACTTTAATAAGATTCATATGATACTATGATTATAAACATATGAGTTACTTTCATGTACATATTTCTGTATATAATTTTGTAAGAATATGAAGCAAAATAAAACATTTTTATTAAAGATAATACTTCAATATGATAGACATTGGGTTATCTTACAATGAATATCTACTAATAATATAAATTATGTATAAAATACATATTTATGTATACATTGTATTATGTCCCAACACTACTATATTTGTAAGACTACTGAGTTTTTTACAAGCTCTTTTAAAATTAGTAAATCAAATGTAAAGGTGATATGTATGTATGTATGTATCTAAGTATAATTTTGAGTGAACTATAAGTGAATCCAGAGTGAACTTAAAAGAAAATTTATTGTTTTGTTTAACAATAACAAAACGTTTAAAATATTTTACATATGCAAATATAGGTAAATGAAGTCAACATGTGAGGCCACAAATTGAATCATAACTTTCTAGAGAGGACAAAGATCTCATCTTCTTTGAATATTTTACATAGTACACAAGGAAATAATACATTATCTAACTCTTCTGTAAGTCTCAAAATAAAACCAAATGACTATCACTAATTAAATGCTTTTTATTATTAATTATTCCAATAATGAGGCATAGTTAAATAAGTAATATGAAGTAACTATCCTTTGTATATCATAACACAGGAATAGGTGATAATATACAGAAAGTTACAATTAATAATGAGATTAAGAAATTATGATTCTCCTTTTAATTCTCTACTTTGTAAAGTAATACCAAGAACATTTTTCCCTTACACAAAGATTCAGAAGATTTATGACTACTTTGCTATTTCTCACTAATCTTGGAACACAATGTGGTAGAAGATATTACCATTCATTTATGGAAATATCACCATCTCATTATATCTCGTGTGTGTGTGTGTTTGTTTTGGCTAAAAATGTATTGAAAGAGGATGTAACCTCTTGTAGTTTAGATAAAAGTTGTGAAGTATAAATATAATTAATGTCACTGAATTACACATTTAAAATATTTAAAATGGCCTACTTTGTGTTATATGTATTTCACCACAATAAAATAAAAAAGGAATGTAAATTTCTATTTAGTGTCTGAAGTACATGTTTATTTCAGGGATGTACACAGTGAAGATAAGGGTTTGTAATTCCTTGCATTGATTTGAAAGTAACTGAATATTATGTCTTAGAATGAATTTGTCATAATTTTAATAATTGTTTAAAACCTAAATATTTGGGTAGTGTGATATATTAGTATTAGGTGTTAGTACTACATTTATATTTTATCCTATTATTATGCACCTTTCATGCTTTGTTCATCCAATAAGCCATATGTTAGTGTGTATTTCTGAAAGGCTACACTAAAATTGGTGAAGGGTCAAACTTTTTTCTTTTTAATGTCAGAAGTAAGGCAGGCTTTGTAACACCTAATTGTGTAGCAAATAAGTTGATCACTAAATATTGTATCACAAATTTTACCCTTCATAGGTTTATGAGCAAATACAATTCTTTAAGCATAACTGAAAAGTAATACACGAATGAAATTTTAGTTATAGTGATTATAGACTCTATACAATCAATATCCAATCAATAACTTAATAAGGAATTAATTATTTTTAAAACAGTCTAACTTCAGAATTACTATTTTCAAACAAGAAGGTATTTTAAAAATAGTCTAAAGATTTTTAAGAAAAATATAGACATATAATACACATCCCAGTAGGGAATGATATAACCTGCTCATCATTCTACCCTCTCAGTATCACCACTAGCAAAAAAAAAAAAAAGAAAAAAAAATGAGCATACCTCAGTAATGCTCATGAGATTAGTTATTTTTATATTGAAACGAGAAGAGCTATGAGAGTCCTATAAGAAAATGCAATGTTGTTGAGGGAGAAGGCTCTGAAAACCTGTAGTGGATAACAGAGAAGAATAACCTAGAATAACACAAGACCACCTAGAATGAGTCACATATCTTTGAGAAAAAATGTGTGCCTCTATAATCTGCTAAACTTGGAGGATCAATGTAAATTTACCAAGATTTAAACATTTAGGAAAGTATCCAGCCAATAACAGTATATGCCATATATTTTCTTTCCTGAATAAATTCTGACATAATGAAAAATTACATAAATTCGGAAGGAAAATAAAATCAAGCCAAGGTTGTAAACTCTATACCCACCACCTCTCCCCCAACACACACACACACATAGAGAAGCTCTAAACATAGTTACTATTGTTTTGAATTCGTATTTCTCTTCAAAATGGCAACTGATTCAAAGAATAGGTCAAAGGCCAGGTTGATAAATTTGCTACTAGAGCAGTGATTAAAATATTTCTGAAAAAGGTTTTCTTTGTTAAAGAAAGAAGGATATAAAAAGCTAACTGAGGGAGTTAAAGAATAGAAATAAGCTCATCCAGTGGAAAGGACATCAAAATTGTCCTAGCATTTCTTTATTACAGGTAGGTGCTCATCAGTATTCAAAATCTGCTGTACTGAGTAAACAAAGCCAAACATGAAGGCAAACCACACAGGATTCCAGCAGGTTGCTGGGCTTCTTCCTGTTAACTGTACACTGTCACATTAACAAAGTGAACAATTAGAAAGGCAATAAAATCTCAGACAGAGGGAATATCATGATCATAAAAATAAAATACCTAGTACAGTGCTGTATATCATTATTATGTGAGTGTGACACTGCGGTGTTCCCCAGCATATTAATTATCAAAATTTAATTATAAAGTAAGGAAAATTTAAACAGACTTAATAATGGATGAAGAGATAGGAAAAGCTTTCAAAGAATTATATCCAAGGTAGGCAACCTGCCAACATGGTACTAGAACAATTTTTTTTTTATCATTTTCATGGCATAGAAACCATTTTCATGTTGCAGAGAAGAAATTTAGATGAAAACATTCCCATTTAATGTATTGATATTACTGAAGTTTAATATCAAATCCTGACAAAAAAAGAGATTGAAAAATTAAAATACAGATTTTTTATAAGAAAAAATGGTGGTGACTTTAAACATAACAATAATAATTTAGTCTTTCAACCCATTGTGAATTACTTTCTAAATAAGTGTAGTAATATAATTTATCTTATTAGAAAAAAAGGCAAAATGTAAAATGTCTTTAATGGCTATGAGATACTTAAAAGCAATTTTTTTTTGTTTTTTGTAACATGACACCTAAAATCCTCAAAGTAAATTAAGAGCATTGGAATAATTCCGTTTTTAATTTTTTTTTTTTAAATGTTGCCCAGGTTGGCCTTGAACGCATAGCCTCGCCTCCTTGTGCGCCAGGACAACTGGCCTGAGCACCTCAGCTCCCTGAATAATTCTTTAACATACCATTCATGCATTTGAAGCCAAAACACAATTACTTATTTTAAAGACAATTATCCAAATAATTGTGTAACTCATATACAAAATGAAGCAAAAGTTATAATGAAAACATGTTGCGCGCCCTTGGATATTATCATATAACTTGTTTTTTAACATAATCACCCCCAAATAAAATATTTTTAATTTTTCACAATTATTCTAATTATGAAAATAATAAGAAAATTTAAAAATCTTTTTTGAAAACTTGGAATTTAGCACTTGTCTGCCATATATTAGGGTCACAGAATTGCTCAATTTGTCTTAAGAGTAATTTGTGTAGAACTCAAAATTTTGTGCTCAGAACACTACGACTATAAAAAAAGTCAATGGTGCGAAATAGGAACAATGGTAGTTGATTGTGGGCAGATGCAATAAATTGTCATCTGTGCCCTCTCCTCCCCACCACCCCAGTTGCTATGTCTATATGGCTAGCAATACTTGCACAGACAATTCACTGGAGTTAACAAATGGTCAATGAAAAGTACCAGGTCCAAATTCAAAGTCAAGGGCTATCTGGTATCTTTATACCAGGCACCTTTATATTAGAGGGCAAAAAGTGACAGTATACCTCTCCAACTGAGTTATATTAGTCAGATCAAAAAGAGCAAACATAGTTTTATCAATGAATATATTCCTTCTGAGGCTAGAAACATGTTTGTTTGTTCCTTCACAAAATATGTATTTTATGATGTAATACGGACATGGCCCTTAACAGCAGAATCGGAAATTGAGTTATGTACTCTACTACTACTCCCGAGGTAATATGTTGAGTATATCAAATTTAACATTACCAAAAACAAAAGTTTAAATGTACTGTGACTATTCTATTGTTTAAGCTCCCTTTTTCTCAGATCTATATTCAGGTAACTTTTTTATTATTTGTGTCTACATGTTTCTGCTAAATTTAGTAAAAGTTTACAACTGAACACAGCACATAGTGCATGTTAATCTTTCATTCAGCATTTGATAAAGTTAATAAAATAAACAGTTGCCATTACACTGCAAAGTTGATTACTAGGGAGTAATTAATTAACTACTAACACTCTACAAAAGCCCTCAGGAGAGTTGGCAAATTTGCAGATTTCTGAGTGCTTCAGCAATGCTTAACTTCAAAGAGATATTAAAATGCTGCAACCCCTGATTTCATTCTGACTGTCCTTGGAAAGACTCCAAGGACAAATTGAACAAATTGGCTAAAAATCCTACCACAGGAAGCCAAACATATTCTATAGTCTGAAGAACAGAGTAACATTTTTGCTGAATAGAGCACTTACGGCTTTTCACAAAAACATGATTCTTTAATACACATCTAATAATGCACAATCAATCAATATACACATAAGAAAGCTTTTCAAATTTTAGCATCCCACATGGTCTCTGCTGTGAGAGACAATAACGCACTTGTAAAATGGATGACATAAAGCCCTATGCATATTTCAAATGAGACAAGAAGATATTTATATAGTTGATGATGTTTGCTATTGTAATAATGGCATTATTTTTTCAATACACCACTCGAGTGCTATTGAGTATACAATTCCCTCGAAGCCTTTTCTTGTGTTATAGAGACTATTGCAGGACCTACTTTAACACTTACAATAATTTGAAATTATAAAAGAAACACATTCTGAAAGCTTTATTAAATACACAGTACAAGCCACTCTATGTTGAAACCTATTTTTCCACAACTGGCACTGGAAGAGTGATATCATTGATACATAATATGCAAAGGATGAATTTCATCTTGAGAATGAGTTGGTTTTCCTTTGATAGAATCCATTTTGAATGTGATGCCGTGAAATGAGTCATTCAGTGGGACCCAGACAAGTGCCCGTTCTAAAACAATTATGTTTTAGGATCGTTTAAAATGTTGACCTTCACAGCACATACACCCTTTTGCTCAAAAGCTTCTATATTAGTCTATAATTTAGGTAATTGTAACATTCCATGAAAGATAAGAGAATAAAATGAAACTGAAATTCAATACAACAAAAATGTATAGGGAGAGAATCTGCAAATCAGCTCCTTTCATCTTTCATCTTCAGGTAGTGCTCTTGATCTCAGCCAAAGGCCAAAAAGTGATCTGTAGGGAGTGTAGAGATATGAAGCGGAGTGAATACTGTCCATTCAAACGTGCTTTATTACTTGACTAAGGTTGTGAATTTCAGATAACAAAGTACAAATTTTAAATGTTGCTATTTAATAAATTGTGTTTAAATGTCTATGTGGGCCGGGCGTGGTGACTCATTCCTGTAATCCCAGCACTTTGAGAGGCCAAGGGCGGCGGATCAACTGAGGTCAGGCATTCGAAACCAGCCTGGCCAGCATGGTGAAACCCCGTCTCTAATAAAAATACACAAATTAGCGGGGAGTGGTGGTGGGCACCTGTAATCCCAGCTATTCGGGAGGCTGAGACAGGAGAATCACTTGAACCCGGGAGGTAGAGGTTGCAGTGAGCCGAGATCGTGCCACTGCACTCCAGCCTGGGCCACAGAGCTAGACTCTATCTCAGAAAGAAAAAAAAAAAAAAGAAAAAGAAAAAGAAAAAAAAAAGAGTATATGTGAAATTGTTGGCCAGGTGAGGTGGCTCACGCCTGTAATCCCAGCACTTTGGGAGGCCAAGGCGGGCAAATTGCCTAAGGTCAGGAGTTTGAGACCAGCCTGGCCAATATGGCGAAATCCCGTCTCTACTAAAAATACAAAAATTAGCTGGGCGTGGTGGCGGGTACCTGTAATCCCAGCTGTCCAGGAGGCTGAGGTTTGGTGGCGGGTACCTTTAATCCCAGCTGTCCAGGAGGCTGAGGCAGAAGAACCACTGGAACCCGGGAGGCAGAGGCTGGCAGTGAGCAGAGATTGTGCCACTGCACTCCAGCCTGAGTGACAGGGCAAGACTCCGTCTCAAAAAAAAGAAACAAAAGAAAGTGTGTGCTAGTGTATGTGTGTGTGTGTGTGTGTGTGTTACAGTGGAGGTTTCTATTCATTGGTACGTCATACACAAACGTAACGTTTTAGAACAATAATTATCTATACATTCGAAGTGAATTTGATAAGCATTTGTTACTGAAATGACTACTAAATATAATAGATGGTGTGATTGAGTTATATCCACAAACACATTCTCATTAGGGATTCATCAATTCATAATAGATGAAAGATATGTTGTGGAGTCAGTATTTGGTTCCACTTCCTGCCATCTTATTTCTTGATTGTCCTGTTACCACACAATGCCTTTCAAAGAACTGTAGTGTTCTTTTAATATAGTTCCCTTTAGTTTTCCTAGTTAAGTTTCTGTTGTCATGTCTTTAATTTCATAAAAGTAAACGAAAATTTCTGCTCTCTTCTTTTAATATATTAACTATTTTTATGCATAGTCAACTTCTGTAGTTTTTGTACTATTATTATCTAATAGGATCTACATCTTATGTAATTACTTTGTCTTTACCAACTCCATTTTGAGGGAATATATTTCATTAGATTTTAGTAAAGCCATTTTTTAATATGATTTTTTTCTTCTCATTATCTGTCAATCAACCCTATTTTATAACAACTTTTTAGCTCTGCATCAAATTGCCTACTGGCTACCAGGAAAATAATAAGCCTTACCAGACGGTTCAAAACTGGCTAAGTTTAAGGTGAAAACATGCACTGTATCCTCAGATTCTGTGTTTAGCTCTATAACTATCTTTTTCCGTCTTGCTCAGTTACTACTTTTCCTTCTGTTGTTCCTAGCTATAAAATTTCCCCAAAGATTTGTGTCCAACCCTCTATCCCTTTCTCTTTTCTCCCTAATGTCAAGAGATCCAATATTTTCTAATTGTAGACATGCTAATTGGTAAAAATAATTCTCTGTGTTTTTCATGTTCCCTGGGAGCATTCTACATCACCCTGGGAGTGATATTATATTTGGGCATATAGAGTATTGATTTTTATAATTGCATACAATCTACATTTAATATCTTCTATATCAAAGTATATGCATAGATTAAATGAAATTAAATGAAATAATCCTCATTTGCACAATTTAGTTTTCAGATAAGTGAAATTAAACATCAAAGTCATAGATTCTTTCAAGAGTTAAGTTACTTATTTGCATTACAGATATTTAATTACTGTTAAGCTTATATAAAGTTTAAGAAATAAAAATGACTTCAACAAAAAAGTTTAAAAATTAGTAAAACATTTCATGTTATAGAATTTCCTCATATATTTGAAGCAAAAAGTAGCATAAACATATTATGAAAGCATTACAGTTTTAGTGGTAATTTATAAACTTACAATTTTGCATACTGTCAAATTATAAAATTTCTCCCTTAAGGCTTTGCTTAATGGTAAGTGAAAGAGAGAAACAGTTAAGCCAGGTATTATAAAAATAATTTGAGACCTTTAATTCATTCAAGGGTAGTGACTTTATTATTTTTAGAAAAATTTAACTTTAGTCTCTCGAAAAATAACTATCATCAACTGTGTGTCATCATGGCACATTATTAAATAAAGTAGAAATGGCCTTTCATTTTCTTGGGGCCAACTCCCAGACTTAAATGCTTCAGAAATTAGGATAAATGATCATTTTGAAGGGAGAAATTTTCCCATTGCAAAAGATGTATTCAAAGCTTTCTTATAGATTTTACTTGCTTTGAAAATGAAGTGTCTGATGAGGCTTGTCTGTAATTAGAAAACATTAGATAAACTCTTCCCATTGTAGAAACATATTGGAACAACTATTTCACAGTAAATCAGAATTTCACTATCAAGTTATGTGATAAGCTCTTCTGTATTACTCAGTAAATCATGAAGTGTGACAATAAGGACACTCAATAAGCTCTAAGAACTGCATAATAAATCAGGAAATTTCACAGTAAGTTGCACAATAAGCTCCACTGTATTAGTCTCTAAATCATGGGCTTTCACAAAAAGTTATATAAGAATTTCTTTCTTCTTTACCATGTCTACTATTATTATGGGGCATCCATCAGTTAAGGATAAAACTTACCAATAAATGGAAGTCTTTCACTGTAGCCATGTGTTATTGAGAAAAATAGGTATAATTTGTCTGAAATAGAAAAAAAAGCTATTGTTTTGTAAATATGAATAAATAATAAAATTAATTCCAGCAACAATGTTAGCTTATGACTGTGATATAGAATTCATTAATTTATAGTAGATACTATATTTTAAAACTATTTAAAATTAGTTAATATTTACTTTTTATAACGAATAACATATATAAATACATAAACATAATTATTGACAAGGGAAAGATTAAGTATCTAAAATAGAGTAAGTAACCACAACTGTAGTTCATTTTTACTATGTGTACATGTGAAGAGAAAGAGAGATGCTTATCTGCAATAATCTAAAATGTATGTTTATTCTCTAATCTTGATGGTAATAAAATGTAATTAAGCTTTTGATAAATTGAAAATTTGCTGTATACAGTGGTATGTGCCTGAAGTCCCAGCTAATCAGGGGACTCAGGTGGGAGGACAGCTTGAGCCCAGGAGTTCAAGTCCAACCAGCGAAACACAGTAAGACTTCATTTCTAGCAAAAGTTGAAAATAATTTGAAACTTTATTTGAGAGATACAATATGTCTTTATGTGAAATAGAAGTTAAATAACTACTGAATTAAGATCCTAATTCCATTGCTTAAATCATAAGTAACTAAATGTAATTAACTACATTATTTAAATGTCAATTTATTTTTAAAATTACCTTTAGAAAAATATATTAATTATTTTTTCAAGAAAATATTTTGAGAAAATAACAAAAGTAAGTAGATTTAGCATGAACATGGGACTTCCCAACTAAATACTACTTAAGACTATTTTATCTTTGTAATGCAAAAAAAGCCAAAATGTATTTTTAAAATTTTAAATGCAGGTAATTTAAGAAAGTAAGATTTATGCAAAAAACAAGATTTGTTCATAATTCGATACCTAGAATTAGAAAATCCTGTTACCCCAAATACGATAAGGCAGATGTTCCTATAATAATGACAACTAGGATTCTATGTGAAGAATAGGAGGACAGGGAAGTTCTTACTGCAAATGTCAACATCACTGGGGAGAGAGTTCTGTGGAATTTAGGCCCTACTTTCATGGGGAAAATTTAGGGAGTTTTTTGTTTATTTGTTTGTTTGTTTTTTGAGACGGAGTCTCGCTCTGTCACCCAGGCAGGAGTGCAGTGTTGCCATCTTGGCTCACTGCAAGCTCTGCCTCCAAGGTTCACGCCATTCTCCTGCCTCAGCCTCCCAAGTAGCTGGGACTACAGGCGCCCCCCACCATGCCAGGCTAATTTTTTGTATTTTTAGTAGAGACGGAGTTTTACCGTGTTAGCCAGGATGGTCTTGATTTCCTGACCTCATGATCCGCTCGTCTCGGCCTCCCAAAGTGCTGGGATTACAGTCATGAGCCACCACACCCGGCCAGGGAGTATTATTTTTAAAGTAGTATTGAACTGCTGCCCCCTTAAACAGAAACACATACATAAACACAGATATATTGTTATCTATTGATACTCTACACAAATTCTTCTCCATGTTGATAAGCCACTGAAAATAGGAATCCTGAAGAAATTCAGATATCATCCAAGAAGAATCACCCCTACTACATCCATTGCAAGCTAAATTCTTTGATAAGAAGAAGTCCCAGATCTTACAACATTTTACCCTGGGCCCAGTTATTGTTGAATAAAGTAAATTAACAGTAGTTACTTTTTTAATTTCTTCCCTACATCAAATATTTAAGGTTTTTCATCTCTTTATTTTCCCTCTTTTGATTTCCTTTAAATTGCTTGAGTTAAAAGAGCTCAATTTAGTGGGATCATGTAAGCCCCATAGAAGATTGAAATCGACTATGATTATCCTAAAAATCTCAATTTAAAAGCTTCTTTCAATAATTCTTAAATATTGTCAATTGACCCTGAGTTTGAGATAACTGTCTTTATGCAGATAAACAGCATAAATGGATTAATATCTCATCTCCAATTCTGCTTATTGCATTAAAAGAAAGACCAGTAACTACTTCTGACACCTATAATCTTTACATCTTTTGTTTTTGTAATTCAAAAAATAATCTGATTGTATCATAAAGATAAATAAATGTATAGTAGAGTTACATGGAATGATAACATCTTGTTTTCATTTATTGATATTGGATGAGTTTTTAAAACAGAAATTTTAGGAATTCCCCTCTCAGAAATAAAGCAACACATTCTAAATTACAAATGAAAACATTGGTTGAATTTGTATGTAAAACTGTACATATGTAAGTTGAAAGAAAATTCACTTACCTTTAAAATTATATTTTCTAAAATCCCTAAGGAATAGAGGAAAAGCTAATATGAGCAGAATATAAACTTGTTACTAATCATTATTACAATGTTTGAAAAGCTTTGAAACATTTAAATAAAGCCCACTACATATTCATCTAGTATTAATATACATAAACCATAAAATATCTAAATATTTAAGTCAACACAAGAACTCTAAAGTTGATGCCTTATTAGTTCACATAGGAGATATTAAAATCTAGAAAGTAATCATTAAACTCTGCATGAGTTGATGTCAAGAATATTAATGAAGAAAATGGCATAATTATTATTCTCAAAGTCCCACATGTAATATTTCTATTTCAGCAAAACTAGAAAAGATGTCAAAACTACAAGCTCAGAATTTTGAAAGATTTTTTTTTTCAAAATGTGTGGAACATTGCAGCATTTAAAAAAAGTAAAACAAAGCCCCTCATTCAAAATAAATATTTGGTCATTTGCATTTAGTTTCAATATTTCATTCAGCGTAATTAATCATTAAAATTCAATCCATACACATCTGCTTCCAGCCAAGATAGATTAGCTCCATTTTCCCTAGGTTGTTTCTCTTACAAGTAGAAGACCCAGGATATAGCATAATAATATAATCAAGAAGACTGAAAGTTTCAAACAAGTAGGTAAACTTCATAAGGACATAGGAGCTTGAGGAATCACACAGTGTTGTATTCCCTAGGTTTTCTCTTTCCCTTCTATTTTTCCTATACAGAACATCATAAAGTTCTCTGTCCTAGAACCAATAGGCATAAAACAAACAAACAAACAAAAAAGCTCAAAAAAATAGTATGAGAAAAAAAAAAGCTCCATATTCCTGTGCTTTACACTGCTTTTTAGCCGAGATGTGGGAAAATGGTGGCATCACCACAGACCTCTTTTGGCAACACTGATCCAACTGTAGCCAAGCACCAGCATAACAATCATACCCTATTTATGGTTTTCATGCCAAGAGTAAAGTAGATCTTCAAACTCATCCACTTGCTTGGTAGAAGGAGACAAGATGGCTTCTCCCACTATGTGGTGCTAGCAAACTGAATGGGGGCTGATCTTCTCGAGGAAGAAAAATGGTGCTCCAACTAAATGCTTAAGTAGTGTCACTGGAATACAGTTAGTGATGTGAAGAACCTCTGTAACAGGCCAAGCTAATCTTGCATGCTGCCCAAAAAAGCCAATGCACTGGGAACAGCAGGTATTGCAGCAAAGAAAGTTTAATTAACACAAGGCCAGCCAAGCAGGCTAATGGGATATTTATCTCAAATCTTTCTCTGGAAAGCTCAGAGGCTAGGACTTTAAAGAATTATTTGGTGGGCAGGAAATGAAGAAATGGGTGCTGCTTATTGGTTGGAGATGAAATCATAGGGATGTCCAAATGGTCTTCATGTGCTGAGAGTTTCTAAAAGAGGGTTCCAAGACAGGCTGAACAAGTTTCTTGGTATGAATCATGGGTCTGGAAAGAGTCAGCTGGTTTCCATAATGCAAAAATCTGAAAAATATCTCAAATACCAATCTTAAGTTCTGACAACAGTGTTATTTTCTACAGGAGCAATTGGGGAAGTTACAAATCCTGTGACCTCCAGCTATGTGATTCTCAAGCAGTAAGTGATTATAGAAAGGCAAGATAGAAGACAATGACCAGTTATCATTTTACTATGCTTACATTTTAGCAGAATTCAGGGCCCTCCCATAATCCTATTCTTGTGAACTTTCATAGTCTTACAAAGATGGTTTTAGTCTCTGAGCAAAGAGGGGTTTAGTTTTGGAAAGCAACTATCATCTTTGTTTTAAAATTAACAAAGGCAATTAGCTTGTGAGGTTAAAAGCAAGATGGAGTCAGTTAGATTAGATTTCTCTCACTGAGATAATTTTTGCAAAGGTGTTTTTACTTCCAGCCCCACTCTATGACAATGAGACCTAATAAAGCATTGCAAGCAAGGGCTAATTACCACTCCACTTCGCAGTACCCTTCCATATTGTTGGCAGGCACTAACAATGAGCCGAATCTCATCCAGTAGGCATCATCAAGACTGAACTCAAGACTCAAGGCTATAGGACTGAGGGCCAGTAAGAACGCCACTTGTCTTCAACCCTGTAGTCAACTGATTGCAATAGGGAGCTGACCCTCTACCCCTACCCAGCAGCAAAAAAAGTAGAATAAGAAAATGGAAGATTGATCTAGATGACATTTTAGTTTCATCAACTTCCTGTGGTGACAATGAACTCAGCAGAGAGCTGAACTTCTGCCTCTACCCTACTGCAAGAAATAAATGATCAACAAAATGAAATAACAGGATCTAATTGCTCTATGTAGAACATGATAGCCAACAATTTTTTAGTGCTCATAAAACATTCATCAAAGATAGAAGACATTATATTCCATAAAACTGTAACTAAATTTAAAGAAGTTAAAATTTTATAGCATTTTTTTCTGACCACTATGGAATCAAACTAGATTTCAAAAACACAGAAACCCTTGGAAATTTTCTAAAATATTAGAAATTCAATAATACATTACTAAATAATGTATAGATCAAAGAGATAGTCTCCAAGGAAATTTAATAATATAAATAGGACTGAATGGAAATAACAATACAGCAAATCAAAATAACTGGGATGCAGCTAAAACAGTGCTGAGAGGTAAATGTATATCAATAAATGTTTACATTTTAAACGACAAAAGCTCTCAAATCAATCATCTAAGTTTCATCCTCAAGAAACCAGGAAGAAAAGAGCAAAATAAACTGAAAAGAGGTAAATAATAATGATTGATCAGAAATCAGTGAAACTGAAAAAAAAATAAACCAGTAGAGGAACAAAACACTACTTCTCTGACATAAAATAAAATTTATAAAACTTTAGCAGGAAGAACAATAAAGAGAGAAGACATAATTTAACATGTCAAGTATAAAATAGAGATATCACTGTAGACACTGCATTTAGTAAAAGGATAATAAGTGAATATGAAGAGTAACTTTACATGCATAATTTCAACAACTCAGAAGAATGGACCGATTTCTTGAAAACTAAAATCTACCAAAACTTAGCCAAGATCTAATGAACAGTGTAAACAGTTCTATAACTTTTGAAGCTGTTAAATTTAAAAGTGAAATCTGTTAAAAAAAAATTGCCAGAATAAGATTATTTCAATGGTGAATTCTATCAAACAATTAAAGAATAATTAACTACGCTCTTTTTTTTTTTTTTTTTACAATCTATTGTAAGGGAACACTTCCCTACTATTTTGTAAAGTTGCTATGACTCTGATACCAAACCTAAACAAAAATGATATTTTTAAAAAGAAAAGAAAACTGGAGAAAATGTCATCCATAAACATAGATGATAAAACCATCAACAAAATATTAGCAAATCCTATCGAGAAATGTGCAAAAAGAAGGATACCCCATGACCAAATGAACTTTATTCAAGTCATGCAAGACTTTGTTAACAGTTGAAAACTAATGAAATCTTCATAATAGTGGGCTGAAGAAAAAAATCAGAGTAATCTTACCATTTTACATGGACTAATTTCCACATCCATTTCAGAATGATTTTTTTTTAAAACTAGAAATAGAGGGAAACGTCTTTGACTTGATGTAGTGCATCTACAGAGCACCCACAGCTAACATTATACTTAATAGTGAACGTCAAATGCTGTTTTTCTAAGATTGGGAACAAGGCAAGGGCGTTTGCTTTTGCAACATTTCTTCAACATAATACTGGAAGATCATGCCACTGTGAGAAGGGGAAAAAAAGAAAAAAAATCGTGCATACAGATTGAAAGAAATAAAGCTTTTTTTTCGATGACATGATTGTCTATGTAGATAATCCCAAGGGAGATACACACACACACACACACACACACACACACACACACACACACACACACAATCTCCTAGAACAAATACATGAGTTAAGTAAAGTCACAGGATATAAGAGCAATTGTATAAAGAAATATACAATTGATTAAAAAATACAGTTGCTACATAAATTGATATATGAATATAAATTAATTTATTTCTATATGCTGACAACAAACAAGTGAAAACTGAAATTAAAAATGCAACATTATTTACTAGTGTTTCAAAGAAAGTAGGTAGCTCTATACTTAGCCAAATATATATAGTATTTATATGCTAAAAAGTATAAAATCCTGATGAAATAAACCAAAGCAGTCCCAAATAGAGAAATACACTGTGTAAATGGATAGGAAAACCAAAATAATTCATAAGTTCCTATATCTGTCCATCAAAATATCAGTGATGCTTTATAAAGCACCGAGAAGCTCATTCTAAAATTTATATGAAATAGCACAGAACCAAGGATAGCTAAAATTATCTTGAAAAAGAAGTGGTATCAATTGCTCTGTCAGATGTTAAGCCTTACTGTGTAACTACAATTTGTAAAAGAATGTGGCATTCATGAAGGAGAAGCCTCAGTTCAATGAAACAGAAGCAAGAACCATGAGAATAGAGAATCCAGAAAGAGTTTCAAAAAATTAGACCAACAGATTTTTAACAATAGTGTAAAAATGATCCCATGGAAGGAGAAAGTTTTTACTACATAGTATTGGAGTAATTGGATATCCATAAGTACAAAATCTTTTACAAAAGATCCTTTAACTAAAACTCACATATTTTATAAAAAAATAACTAAAAATAGGGTCATGGGCCTAATTTAAAATGCAAAGCTGAAAAACTTTTTAGAAAAAAATAAAATAGTAAAGAAAAAATCTTGTGGCTAAGACATAGGGCTAGGTGAAGAGTTCTTGGTCTTAACACTAAAAGCACAATCCATAAAATAAAAACTGATAAACTGACATCCACAAAATGAAAACTTTTTTTTTCTGTGAAAACTCATGTGAAGAGAAAGAAAATCTAAGCTATAGACTGAAAGAAAATATTTTCAATCCATATATCCAACAAATGTATTTCATCTAAAATATATAACAGACTCTCAAAACTCAACAGTATAAAACCAAATTGTCCAATTAGAAAATGGGCAATAGATGAAGAGAAATTTTCCAAATAGTGTATACAGTTGATAAAAAGCACATAAAAAAGATGTTCAACATCATTAACCATTAGGGAAAGGCAAATTAAAGCCATAGTGAGATATCACTACACATTTAGAATGAGGAAAATCAAATAGGATTAACATCAAATGTTCATAAGCATATGAAGTAACTAGCTGGCCCACTCTGACATTGCTAGCCGGAATGTAAAACAGACCAGTCACCTGGAAAAGGTTGTTGCAATTTCTTACATAACTAAACATTTGTTTATAATATATTCTGGGAATTGTACTTTGGGCATTCAATTCAGAAAAATGAACACTTATATTCATTAAGCTTGAAAGTAAATATTTATAAGCACCTTTGTTCATAATAGCCAAAAACTGGAAATAATCCCAATATCCTTCAATACATGAATAGTTGAACAAACTGTGGTATATCTATGCTATAAAATAATACTCAGTGATAAAAAGCAACAAAAAGGATATAGCAATTTAGATGTTAAATAATTATTCTGACTAAAAATGCTAATCTCAAAAGGTTGCATACTGTACAATTGCATCTATATTACATTCATGGAATAATAAAAATACAGAGATTCAGAGCAGGTTAGTTATTGCCAGGGATTAGGAAGCAGAGGTTAGAAGCGGCTAAGCTTACAAAAGGAGATCCTTATGATGCAGCTGTTCTGTATATTGACTGTGAGGGGGTGGTAAAACAAATCTGCAGATGGGACAAAATTGCATAGAACTAAGGCCACATACACACATATCCATGCACACACACGCAAGAATTCATGTAAATCTGGTGAAATCTGAATAAGGTGGATGGATCAGGTCAATGTCAATTTTCTGGTTTTGATATTATACTGCGGCTAGGCAAGAGGTTACCACCACAGGAAACTGGGTGAAGGGTATATAGATTTTCTCTCGGTATTAGTTTTTCCAACTGAAGGGGAATCTATAATTATGTCAAAAATAAATAAATAAATCCATCCCGTGGTGACACAAATGTAATGTATAAAAATCATGTAATTAAAATCATGTAATTTTTAATGTTTGATGGGATATTGCTTAACGCTAAGAAAATCATTTCTGTTTACCTACTTTTATGAAAAATATATGCTGTTGAGAAGAACTTCTCACATTTTCTTATGTACATTCCTGTGTCATCAACTCATGAAAGGTAGCAAGTGATGCAAACTGATGTGTGAATTGCCATAAAACAATACCTGAAATATTTAAATCAAATAAAAATTTGTTACAAATTTGATTTCAAAGATATTTTGCTTCTATTCCAGAGTTGAACTGTCCCTTAGAGCAGTGATTACATTTTAATAGTTTTTCTAACCTTTAATATATGAATATTACATATTATATTAATATATATATTCTTACTTAGATAATTACTTAAAAAATAAATTCAGTTTCAATTACTTTAGGATAACCTGGTGCAAATAGTCCCCTGTATGTATTATGTGCCATGGTTTTCAACCCTGCCTCTAAACCAATAACCTTACTTTATTCTATATTTGAACATCATATTTCATTTATTTGCTGCATTTTTGTTCTCCAAAAAATTACTATTGTTCTATTTAGTGCTAATTTCCCTTTTTTCTCTAAAATATTTTAGGGATTGATGTGTATTTAAAACCTTGTCATGATTATGAGGGGTGAATGACTTATAGTTTTATCTTGGCTTGAAAATCAATTTTATCTTCCTGTTGACTGCATTTTATGTTTTCTTTACTCTCATCCTAAAAAAAAGTTCTGAAATGAAGCCAAGTTATGATGAGATGTCCTCTGAAGTAATCAAATATTACACTGAGAGTCATCCATCACAGAAGGCCCACAAGTTTTTGTTACCTATATCCTTGGAAAATGTGAATTAAGTAATTACAAATAAACAGTGGACAATATCATTTATGCTGTTTCATTGTGTTAACTTAAATGGCTGGTTGGCAGCGCTAAAGCTGGGCCAGAGACAGGGGAATGCCATATATTTGTATGAGTGATTCATAATTTGAGGTCAATATCGTGCTTCAAATACAAATGACATATCTAATGTGGAATGTAAGAGCAAAACCATATGTCCAAATTATGTATATTTCCGTTTTATTTTGGGCGAGGTCAGTTTGATTAATATACATAGCTGAGCTTTAAATACAGAATGGAATCAAGAAATTAGGTTTGGTAAAAAGAAGTTTTAAAGAGAACAAGGTGGTCAATTCTACATCAATCATAGATTACATCAAAAGTCATTCAATGGCAACAGCTAAGAGAAAAATATCTTAGCTAATTCTTTGTTTTAAAGATATTCTATAATTTATATTTCATTACTCTTTTATTGTAAATTGGAAGGTAAAATATATGTTTCTGTGTGATGTGGGCATGTGTGTGTAGAAGTCCACTGTGCCTTGTCAATAAAACATCACGTAGTAATTTTAAATAGGGTTTTCTTTCTGATGAGCTCTAAAATCATCACCATTATATGCAAAATATGAAAGTAGTAAATAATATAAAATAAACCATTATGTGGCTGGGCACAGTGGCTCACGCCTGTTATCCCAGCACTTCGGGATACCAAGGCGGGCGAATCACTTGAGGTCAGGAGTTCGAGACCAGCCTGACCAACATGGTGAAACCCATCTCTACCCAAAATACAAAAATTAGCCAGGTGCCATCATGGGTACCTGTAACTGCTCGAGAGGCTGAAGCATGAAAATCACTTGAACCCTGGACACGGAGGTAGCCATAAGCCGAGATCGTGCCAATGCACTCCAGCCTGGGCAACAGAATGAGACTCTGTCTCAGAATAAATAAATAAATAAATAAACAAACCATTATGCTTTCTTAAAGGGCAGATAAAACATTTCTCTTAAAAGTGAAAAATATACTGTAGTTATAACAAAAATTTATTTTTCTTTTGTCCACATATTTGTGCCATGGTCCTCAAACCTTTCAGAATATCTAGCCCATGTATTGATTCTAAGATGAAAGAAAAAATTTTGTGAATGAATATTGGGTACAAAAAATAATTATGCAGTTGGGGTTATCAGCCTAATTCAGTGAATCTACATAAGAAATAACATGGGTATCTCATGTGACTTAAGAAACTGCATTCCCATCAACAGTGTATAAGCATTTCCTTTCCTCGGCAGCCTAACCAGCATTTGTTTTTTGACTTTGTAGTAATAGCCATTCTAATGGGTGTGAGATAGCATCTCTTTGTGGTTTTGATTTGCATTTCTCTGATGATTAATAATGCTGAGCATTTTTTATATGTTTGTTGTCATTTGTATATCTTCTTTTGAGAATTATCTGTTCATAATTTTTGCCCATTTTTAATGGAGTTATTTGTTTTTTGCTTGTTGTTTTAAGTTCCCTAGAGCGTCTAGATATTAGGCTATTGTCAGATGCATAGTTTGCAAATATCTTCTCTCATTCTGTAGGTTGTCTGTTTGCTCTATTAATAGTTTATTTTGCTGGGAAGAAGCTCTTAATTTAATTAGGTCCCACTAGTCTAGTTTTGTTTTCACTGCAATTGCTTTTGGGGACTTAGCAAAAAAACTTTTGCCAAGCTTGATGTCGAGAAGAGTATTTCCTATTTTTGTCTTTCAGGATTTTTATAGTTTGAAGTCTTACATTTAAATTTTTAATACATTTTGAGTTAACTTTTATATATGGTGTAACGCAAAGGTCTGGCTTCAATCTTCTGCATATGGCTAGCCAATTATCCCAGCACCATTTTTTGAATAAGGTGTCCTTTCCCCATTGCTTGTCTTTGTTGACCTTGTTGAAGATCAGATGATTGTAAGTGTATAGCTTTCTTTCACAGTTTTCTATTTTGTTCCATTGGTCTATGGGTCTGTTTTTGTACCAGTACCATGCCATTTGGGTTAATTTAGCCTTATAGTATAATTTGAAGACAGATTGGGTGATGCCTCTAGCTTTGCTCTTTTCACTTAGGATTACTTTGTCTGTTTGGGCTCTATTTTGGTTCTATATAAATTTTAGAATAATTTTTTTCCAATTCTATGAAGAATGATGTTGGTAGTTCGATTGGAATAGCACTGAATTGATAGATTTCTTTGTGCATTATGGCCATTTAAAAAATATTGATTCTTCCAATCAATAGTGGAATGTATTTCCATTTATTTGTGTAATTTCTGATTTCTTTCAGCAATGTGTTGCAGTTCTTGTTGCAGAGATCTTTCACCTCTTTGGTTATATATATTTCTAGGTATTTCTATTTTTTGTGGTTATTATAAGTGGGATTGTGTTCTTGGTTTCACTCAGTCTGGACATTGTTGGTGCACAGATATTCTACTGATTTTTATACATTCATTTTATATCCTAGAACTTTATTAAAGTCGTTTATCAATTCTAGGAGTCTTTTGGCACAGTCTTTAGCATTTCCTAATTATAGAATTATATCATCAGTGAAGAAAGATAGTTTTACTTCTTTTTTTCCTATTTTGGTGCCTTTTATTTATTTCTCTTGCCTGATTGCTCTGGCTAGGACTTCCAGTACTACGTTGAATAGGAGGTGTGAGCATGGGCAACCTTGTCTTGTTCCAGTTCTCAAGGGGGATAGTTCGAGCTTTCACTCTGTCAGTATGATGTTGGCTGTAGGTTTGTCACAAACAGCTCTTATTATCTTGAGGCATATTTTCAATGCCTGGTCTTTTGAGAATTTTTATCGTGCATCTTATCGAATGCTTTCTCTGCATCTATTGAAATGATCATATGGTTTCTATTTTTGATTCTGTTTATATGGTGAATCACATTTACTGATTCTTGGATGTTGAACCAGCCTTGCATCTGAGGGACAAAACCTTTTTGTTCATAGTGTGTGAACTTCTTGATATGCTGCTGGATTTGATTTGCTAGTATTTTGTTGAGGATTTTTGCTTCTATGTTCATTTGGTATATTAGTCTGAAATTTTCTTTTTCTGTTGAGTCTCTGCCAGATTTTGGTATCAGGCTGTTGCTGGCTACACAGAATGGGTTAGGGAAGAGCTCATCCTTCCCAATTCCTTAGATTAGTTTTAGTAGGATTGGTACCAGTTCTTCTTTGTGTGTCTGATAGAATTCAGCAGCGAATTCATCCTCCAGAACTTTTTTGCTTGACAAGTTCTTTATTAGTCATTCAATTTCAGAAGTCACAGTCTGGAGGTTTCTCAAAGAACTTCAAACAGGGCTAACATTTAACCCAGCAATGCCATTACTAGATATATACATCCCCCAAAAAAAATCATTTTACCTAAAAGACACATGCATTTGTATGTTCATCACTGTGCTATTAACAATAGCAAAGACATGGAATCAACCCAAGTGCCCATCAATGTTAGATCGGATAAAGAAAATGTGGTACATATAAACCATGGAATACCACACAGCCATAAAAAAGAATAAAATTATGTCCTTTGCAGCAACATGGATAGAGCCATAATCCTAAGCAAATTAATACAGGACTACCCAACTAAATACCATATGTTCTCATTTATAACTGAGAGCTAAGCATTCAGAACATATGAGCATAGCTACAGAAACAAAAGACACTGTGAATTACTAGAGGGTGGAGTGAGGGGAAGTGGGTTGATGAACTACCTATCAGGTACTAAGCTTACTACCAGGGTGACCAGATCTGTACTCCAAACCTCAGCATCATGCAGTATCCCCATGTAACAAATCTGCACCTATATACCCTGTATCTAAAATAAAATTTGAATTTTTTTCAAAAAATAAAATTCAGATGACTTACCTCCTCCAAAGAATTCCACCTTCAGCCAATTTTACCTCAGTTCCACAGTGGAACTTATATGTTATTAAACTTAGGCACCTCCTTAGCTAGATAAATCTTGCCATTCCACTGCAAATACCAGAGTGTTAGCATACGTTAAACAAATAAGAGTTCCTTGGGAATAGGCAGGACCTCTTGTTATGGTAGGAAGATAAACTGGCTCAAAGTTAATGCATAGGACTCCCTGTGTACAGACAAGGGTCTAAGTGCTGATCAGTGTCCAGAGACAAGATTGGCGCCATTTTTAAAGAATAAAAATACAAGTCTGTGTTCTGCTTGGTGTGCTAAAGAGCAAGTTGATGCATTTTCTCATGTATTTGATCAGCCTAGACTTGGTCTGCAATTAAACTAATAAACTACTATTAAGTGAATTCTGAAAATAATACTGGAGAACATGTATAGTTTTATGTAGAAAAAGTAAATTAAATTAATTCCTCTAATTTTTCTGTGTATTTTTAATTTATTTTCACTTAAAAATGAGACTAGCCAACTACCCTGTGATTGTAATTTTAGGTAATTAATTTTACTAGAGGAAGGTAGATTGCACATAACAAGAACTGATTACTGACAATACAAATAAAATTATTTAAATATGTTATATTCATATATAACCCAGGAAATTTTAAAAAATGAGTGTATGTTCTGATTGGTGTGCAAAAGGGCAAGTTGATGCATTTCCACATGCATTTGATCAATTATTACCAACCTTTGAATAGACACAGTGAAGGGAGGTATTTTTAAAAAATCTTTGTTAGATAAATTTGGTCTGTACACATATTTCACTAATAATGTAGTTCTTAAATTACACTGCCTTAATAATATATTATATAAATGAGAAATTAAAATAATAACCTCAAAAAAGCATCTTTTGTAATGTTTGAATCTATAGGTTAAAGTAATACTATGCCAAAATTTAAACTAAGCATTTTAGATGGCCCCAAGGTACCAGTGTACCAACAAAAATTATCAGGTTGGAAGATTCTAGATTTGACCTTGTGTAAGTGTTTAAGAGATATCCTTAAAGAAGACTCCAGATAAATCACAAGGAATAGAAAGGGTATTTCTGCTCGCCTCATTTCTAGGCTGATCTTTTGCACTTTTACAGCCACCCACGGTAACAATTTGCAGTCTTATACTCCCCTTCCTTATGCTGAAAACATGTTTGCCCCCTTCATATGTGTTAATGTGCCTGAAATCTCCAAATTGGATGGAAGTAAATGGGCTCTTTCAATATCACTTTTCCCCTTGGGATAATAGTTTATCACAGTCTTGTGGAAACTTATGTTAACAGTTTACTTAAGTAGACACAACAATCAGCAGTTAAAGCTTGGCTTATTGGGGAGTGGGAAAGACAAAGAAGTAGGTAATAGAAAAATCGGATTGTTTGGTTTCCCTTTTCTCTTCCTCTTAGCTCCTGGAATGAATGCTCTTACAGCTCAGACGTCTCTTTTTTTAAGACGAATTGTGACTATACTGAGACCAGGGCTTATCAGTTTTTGTATCCAAAGAAATCTTTATATTTATAAATCGATGCTTTAGGTTAAAGGCAGTTTTCTATAACTGTGGGTTAGCGCTCTTAAAGTGCTTATCCAAATTCCTATTCTACAGGAATGAGAATTTACATTTCATCTGTGTCTCCCAAGATTGCCACAATGGTGACCTCACTTGTGTCTAATAATTTTTTTATTACTAAATTTAGCACATTAGAAACAGGAAATTTTGGCCTTTTCTTTGGAGTTAGCAACTCTGTTACTTCCATATGCTTAAGCATTTGTTACTTGCTCTCATGCCTTCATCCAGTTTAATTAGCTAATTCGTAAATTTTAAACTTCATGTCACTCTGCAAAGCATGATAAAATCTCATGCTGTCCCTCCCTTTAGTCATTCTCATCCCATGCTGCTGTCAGAGGCATTTTATCATTTCACATCAACACAAGAAGGGTGAGTACCGTACAACAAGATACTTTGAGAGAGAGACCACAGTTACATAATTTTTTACAGCATATTGTTACAATTGTTCTTTTGTTTTTTGTAAGTTATTGTTGTTAATCTCTTATTATTCCTGGTGCATTAATTAAACTTTATTATAGGTATGCATCTGTAGGGGAATAATGGCATCTATAGGATTTGGCACTATCCATAATTTCAGGCAATCCCTGGGGGTCCTGGAGCACATCACTCATGGATAAGGGCAGATGACTGTATATTATGCTACATGATTATTACTCAGAATAAATAGTATACTACATATGTTTTTACTTGAATCTTTTAAATGTTCTATTGTGAAATAAGAATGTGGAAAGCTGCATAGAATCAAACCATACAATTTAGCCAATAATTATGAAGCAAACACCCGAGTAAATACTATTTACTTCCAGAATTTGCCTTCACCTGTCCTGTCAGTTATAACTCGTCCCTCCTCTATTTAGCTAGTCACTATAATGGATATATTTTTCTTGCGTAGCTCACTTTTAAGCATAATAACACCTGGCAAGTGTGTTTTCAAATAATATATATAAATATGAATTGCAAATTAAGCTCTAGCAAGCTATTAGAAGCTAAATTACTACTATCACATCTTCTTATAATCTAGGCACATTACAGGGAAAAGTATTATTTATCCCAATTGAACCTGATGAAATTGAAATTGTTCTCCATAAAGTATCATAATTTACAGAGTTGTAAATTTTAGAACCAGTTCTGACACCCAGTCTTCATGCCTCTTTCACTCATTTCTTTTTTTTCCTGACAAAATAGAAAGACAATGTAAAAAGAAACTGCATTATGAATACAAAGGTGTTCTTGGTTCTCTTCCAAGGTCAGCTATCATCTTTGCTTTGTGTACTGGGTAAATCACTTAATGTTTTTTTATATAGAAATGAATATAAAGTTAAATGGTAGACATCAAACTACCTACTAAATTAAGTGACTGTCAAAACTGTGACTGTTATTTTTCTCTTAAACAGAAATTCTAGTCAAGGGACAAAATAATTATTAAATATAATAATGATTATGGTGATAACTATCATTTATGAATTGCTTATTAATTGTCAAGCTTGCTAAGTACCATATATGCAGTTTATGATTTATCCTTATTGACTTAAAATCAAGAATGAAATCCAAATCCACTCCATCCAGATTCCTCACTTTTATCAGTTCTCCTGTATCATCAGCTGTATATGTCTATAGCTGTATCTATATTTATTCATCTATGTATCTAGATACCTATACATGTGAATACACAAACCTATATAATAAAATAGGAAAAATTTTATACAGTTTAATTTGTGATTAAGATAATTATATACATTGTATATGTGCCTATAAATGTGATTTTTACTGCAAAAAACATTCTAGATTATTTATTAAATCAAATACTTGAACTATTTTAAAAGTTAATTATAGTTCCATATGTGAATACATTTTAAGAACTAAAAGAAATGAAAGCATTTTAACTTAAATGATGTGTCACTAAACCTATTTATTAAGCTATTATCATGTAGTAGCTTTATAGCTGACAATCTCTTTAGAAAAGCATGTGATAACCAGTGATGTGGTCAAGATTTCAATAAAAAGCATATTCCTTTCATTAATATGTTTATAGAATGTCTAATATTGATGAGGATCTTCTATGTAGAATTATATGTAAAAGGACTTATGTCTTATTTTACCAAAATAAAATAGTGTTTCAAAGGTACTGTTATAGTTTGGCTGTGTCTCCACCCAAATCTCATCTTGAATTTTAGTTCTCAGAATTCCCACGTGTTGTGAGAAGGACCTGGTGGGAGATAATTGAATCATGGGGACGATTTCCCCCATACTGTTCTCATGGTAGTGAATAAATATCATGAGAATTGATGGTTTTATAAGGGGTTTCCACTTTCACTCCTCTCTCATTCTCTCTTTGCTGGCTGCCATGTAAAAGACATGCCTTTCACCTTCCACCATGATTGTGAGGCCTCCCCAGGAACCTGGAACTGTGAGTCCATTAAACCTCTTTTTCTTTATAAGTTACATAGTCTCGGGTATGTCTTTATCAGCAGCATGAAAACGGACTAATACAGGTACTATTCAAAATCAATAATTATTTCAATTGCTTACTTAATTGACTAACTTTGTTTAATTTATGTGATATTTAAACAGCTTGATAGTTTTTATTTGAGCTAGTTTATCTGCTAGTATTTTTATGTTTTTATGTATTTCATGGTAATTATATATTTCTCCTTTCTTCTTTTTCTTCCTGTCTCCCTTCCTTCTTTTCCTATTTTACTCCCTCCCTTCCTTCATGTGGACAGAATATGGTGATCAAATTTAATTTGAATTTTAAGTGATAATTGTTAAAATTAGTTAAGATTCAATTAAATATTACAGTAATTTAACCCAGTGTTTACCAATATTTGGCTATGTAGCAGATAACTATGTTAGCAAATAAATCTGTGACCTTAATTCACTCTTTCAATAAATAAAGTTTTAGGAAAATCATTTCTTAAAAGAGTAATTAAAATTAGGAAAAAAATGTAATATCCCCCTCCCTTGCTTTTCTGCTGTATTTGAACTTTCATTGCATTCTGCCCTCATTTATAACTAGATAAAATGAATATAATTCATTATTGCTAGCTTTATTATTAGAGAGTTAAGTAGAAGAACTAATGGGAAAAAAAAATAACAGCACACCGTTCCACTATTTACTGTTTCATTCTTGGGATTTTGTGTAACTCATTATTTCTAAGTTTAAAACTTCCCAAGCCATTTTTCTAACAACCTTGGCCAGCGTGCTTGAGGTAGGTAACCTGCTTTAAATTGCTTTGATTAACTCATGAAGAAATATTCTCAATGCATCCAATTGTATTGTGTATTTATAAGCTCTAGTGCTCTACCATGAACTTTGAATTAACAAAACTATAGAAATGAGCTGATAATGCCCTTAATTTCTTAAACTATACCTCTTATTTCAAGACTTTCCCATCAGTGCTTTTAGAAAAAGATACAATGTCTCTGATTTTTATTCACATTTTCCTAGAATAAGATCACAATATGCATTTATTTTCAACATCTTTCTTAATATTAAAAATCACAATTTTTGACATTTGTATGCTACCTTAATTTTTACAGTATGGCCAGCATGTTATAATAGGTACTTTAAGGTATCTCCAAGTTACAGGTCTACAAATTAACACAAACAAAAATATTCAGCAATATTTCCCTAAAGAAACCATTTAATCATGGTAGCGCAATCAAATCTGTTAACTCGTGTAAGCCTGCATATTTATTATAACTATTTAATTTTAGAAATCAACAACCCTCCATGAACATTAAAAGTGTCATCCACGCACTTTTAACAACTATATTGTTGCCATAAGCATCAGGTGGTTGAAAGAAATCACCATAAGGGAGCTTTTATGAATTTTCAATGGACTCTATGCTTCATAAAATACATACCTCAAAAATATGTGACAGTCTTTCTGTCCTACTACCACTCATATTAATAATCTTCTATCAAATGTTTGGTGTCCCATCTGTCCAGATAGAAGCCACATTGTAAAGAAGAATCATGGGCCATGGCTTCATTTTGCCTAGATTCAAATTCCCTACATTTCTTATTGTATTGAAAACCTTACTAAGGTATATAGAAAGGAGGTAAGCACCTATGAGACATATCTGTCTCTTTGTGTATTTTATCTAAATGTCTTTAATGCTATTATTTTAAAATGAGTTTTTAATTTAAAGTAAATATTTCAACAATTTCTTCATGTTATAACATATGTATCTATGTAATCCTTGTGCACATCTCCTTCAGCACATACATGACCATTTCTCAAGAGTACATACTGGTGGAACCATAAGCAAATAATTAGGGAAATAAAAAGGAGGAAATGAATCTGGAGAGAATTTGGAAGGCAATGAATTCCATCCTTTCAAACTGAATTTTGAAAAACACCAAGAATAGCCAAGCATATGTAGAATTCAAATAAAAGTATATTCAAATACAGTCATATGTAGTATTCTAATAAAAATGTATTCAAATAGAGGCATATGTAGAATGCTAATAAAAATATATTCAAATAGAGGCATATGTAGAATTCTATTTGTTTACTAATTGTAATTCTAACTATGTAGGAGAGAACTTAATCGAGAGCTATAGTTTAGGGAAATATTAAGTGTTAGGAAAGAAAGCAAATGATAATGGGCATTTTTATTTTCATGGAGATGTAAAAAAGTAGACTGCTTTAAAAATATTTAGCAATAGTTGATGTGTGGATAATAGAAAACGTGAGAAATAAGCTTAGATTTGTTGAAAGAAAGCATGAAAGTATACTACAGACATGATATACCAGGCTAGTGGAATCAGTATATTTTCATCTTAGAAAAAAAATAAGTCTAGGTATAAAATAGACTAGATTTGAGGGTCAGAGTCCAGACACAGGACTACCTATATTTACTTTATTTAAAAAAAAACATGCACATGGCATTTATCATGCTTCAAGGACTTCAGTAATAATCTGTAAGTCATAATAAATAGTCCATACTTCACCATAACAACAATGTGAAGTAAATCAAGAGCTTCAAGCAGAGGAGTAGGCACAGGCATATATTGCCTTTAAACATGCTATGCCCGTGTCAGTATTAGCAAGAATGAAACAGGAGCACTAACTCAGAAACCTGTGCAGTACTCCTGCTTGGACAGAAGCCAGGCTGCCTTAGAAAGAGGGCATGTGAGTGGTGAGAAATGGATGGATATTAAATATATAACTGAAGTGGAATAAATAATAACTGATGCTGAAACTAACAAATAATTGTAGCCCAAACTTTATAAACATATGGCTTTTCAGAAGCTGTGTGCTACCAGATGGGAGACTTTGCGCTATGCACATGTTAATTAGGTCCTAACATCTTCTGGTTAGGCAGAAATTTCTTTTTCTTTTTCTTTTTTTCTTTTTTTTCTTTTTTTATTTTTATTTTTATTTTTGAGATGGAGTCTCACTCTTTCACCCAGGCTGGAGTGCAGTGGAGCGATCTTGGCTCACTGCAACCTCCGCCTCCCAGGTTCAAGGGATTCTCCTGCTTCAGCCTCCCAAATAGCTGGGGCTACAGGTGTCTGCCACTACTCCTGGCTAATTTTTTTTGTATATTTAGTAGGGACCAAGCTGGTCTTGAACTCCCGACCTCAGGCGATCCACCCGCTTCAGCCTCCCAAAGTCCTGGGATTACAGGCGTGAGCCACCACGCATGGCCCAGAAATTTCTTATACAACATTACTCTCTGGCACTCTCTTAAATAAGCCGTGAAGTACATTTAGGGACATGTACCAACAAGTCTGTCACACCTGGTTTTTCTGCCTGCAACAGAACAGATCACAGCTTCTTGGCTGAGTCCATTATAAAGTAGTTTGTGTTTAGGGGGCATGAACAAAATAATTTTCACTGTATCTTTAAATATTGGATTCACACTCAGGAAAGTGAGAATGTCACACTGTGAGACACACAGGAGACAAAATTGAATGAAGGCAAAGGCACGTAACATCTCCCATCTCATTTTCATTCCATGGCGTATGCTCATTGAATAAAATAATTCATGAATCATGTTAAATACTTGTCTCTGTTACATTACCACTTCTTTCATCCTTTCCTCTCTCTCCTTCCATCCTAACTTTCGTTCTTTTCTTCCATTTTTTTTTGTTGTCTTCTCTTAGTACATATCTTAAATACATGTACACTAAATGCATAACTCATTTAACCTGAAACCCAGCAGTTTGTCCTAAAAATCATTAGTATGTATAGATAAATTTTTTATTAAGTTTTTTTTTAGTCTCTTCTACTTACCTGAATAATATCTGATTAACTGAACACTGAGTTCCTACATCATTGCTAGGTGATCAAATAGATACCCGTTATCTACAAGCTGTCTTTTAGAACAACAAATTATTTTTCTTCATTAAGAAGTTAATGTGGATTTAAGTGACTTAAAAAACACATGGTTTATATATTGATATCTTTCCTTATTATGACTTCTTTCACCCAACATTTTCCACAATGGGCAAGGAGGCAACTGGAACATGAAACATTAGGATAAAAAGAAATGGTGAGCAAGGGAACTGAAAACACTGTCTGCATAGACCATGTCTTTAGGCAGCTGTGGATGACTTTCCTAAAGCTGTCTCATTGTTTCTCTCTCCACTATTATGGAGTGTATTTCAACAACACATTTCAAAGTCTATGAGCCAACAGGATATTACAAAACACAGAGGATACTCACTTTTCTAATTTAGTAAGGCAAAAAATTCAAAGATTGATTGATTTTTCTGATAACAAAAAGAAAAAAGTTATCAAAATAGCAATTTTGGTATTTCATAAAAAGTGTTATCTAATACTCCTTAAAAAAAACAATTTTCATGAGCCCAAGAATTTCCATGTTTGAGTGCACTGTCTCCTCCTGGGATGGAACAGTTTATCTTCATGATTCACTCAACAAAGATACATTCTGAAAAGTATGTCATTAGATGATTTTGTCATTGTGCAAACATCATAGAGTGTAATTAAGCACACCTAGATAGGATAGGCTACTACACATCTAGGCTGTATCCGTATGGTTTAGCCTATTACTCCTAGGCTGCAAAGCTGCACAGTATGTTACTGTGTTGAATACTGTAGGCAATTGTAACTATTTGCATATCTAAACATATCCAAACACATAAAAGTTACAATAAAAATATAGCATAAAATACAAATAATGGTACACCTGTATAGGGCATTTACAATGGGTAGAGGTTGCAGGACTGGAAGTTGCTCTGGGTGTCAGACAGTGAGGGGTGAGTGAATGTGAATGCCTAGGACATTACTGTACACTACTGTAGACTTTATAAACATGGTATACTTATGATACACAAAATTTATTTAGTTTTTTCTTCAATAATAAATCAACCTTAGCTTATTTAAACTATTCTTACTTTATAAACTTTAAAACTTTTTTAAAAAACTTTTGCCTCTTTTGTAACAACTCAGCTTGAAACACAAGTTATACAACTTAACAAAAATATTTTTTCTTTATATTCCTATTTTTATTTTTGTATTTAAAAAACGTTTAAACTGTTTTGTTAAAAACTAAGACCCAAACACATACATTAGCCTAGGACCACATAGGGTCAGAATCATCATTACCACTGTCTTCCATTGGCACATCATGCCCCACTGGAAGGTCTTCAGGGACCATATGTATGGAGCCATCATCTCCTATGATAGTAATGTTTCCTTCTGGAATACCACCTGAAGCTGTTTTACAGTTCACAATTTTTATAAGTAGAAAGAGTGCACTATAAAATAAAAATAAAATATACTAAATACATAAACTAGTAACATTATCATTTATTACCATTATCAAGTATTGTGGACTGTCCATGATCTCATGTGTCCTGTTTTTATACCACTGGCAGAACAATAGGTTTATTAACACCAGCATCACCACAAACACATGAGTAATGGATTCTGCTACAAAATTAAGATGGCTATGATGTCTCAAGATACTTGGAATTTTTCAGCTACATCATAATCTTATGAGACCACCAGTGTATATACAGTCCCTACTTGACTGAAACGTCATTATGCAGCATATGACTGTGTGAATGGGCCATCAACAGGCCTAATCACCGATTTATGGCCTTTCTCCCTTAGCAAGAGCAGTAGCAAGGATTTACCCTTACATAAAGCTTTTTAATATAAATTATATGTAAAAATACAATTAAATATATAAGCACATAGTGGAACTCATTGACCAATCACGAACATGATAAAAATTCTGCAACTAACAATAGTGAGTTGCCAGGGAGGCAAAATATACTTCCAAATCCTAAATTGAACCAATGATATCAAAGAAGCTTGATATTAGATAAATGATAGAATAATCTTAGCTCAGATATCTTTTCTAATTATAAAAATAATGCAAATGATGTAGAAAAATATTTTTATTGTAATTATGTATCAAACTTTTATTTTTTGCTTTCTTTTTGGACTATTGAATTATACTGTGTTGTAGTTTTGGAAAAGCTCTCAAACTGTGTTTTCCTTGTGATCTCACACCAGCACAACAACATAGAAGACTTCTGTGACCTCAAAATATGTGGCAATATCTTCCCACCAGCAAGCAAGCAATCAGTTTTGCAGTGGACAGCAACTGGGTTTTCTCCATTCAATTCCAACACTGTCTACCTGGAGATAATGTCAGATCCTACAGGCTGGGGTCTCAGTCCCCCAAACTGACCCTTCTTCAGACACCAGTAACAAGTTTAAGCCTCTGCAACTTCTGACCAACTGGCTTCAAGTTGGGTTTCCTACAACCCTCTTTATGTTTAATTTACTGGAGCAGTTCACAGAACTCAGAGAAGCACTGACATTTACCAGTTTATTCTAGAGGATATTCTAAAAGATAAAGGTGCAGAGATACACAGGGCAAAGTATGGGGGACAGGGCAGCATTTATATGTCACCTCTGGGTGCACCCCCCTCCAGGAACCTCCATGGGTTTGGTTATCAGGAGGCACTCTGAACCCAGTCCTCTTGGGTTTTCATGGAAGCTTCATGATGTCAGCATTCTTTCTCCAAGGGTATGGGGCAGGTTCTTCTCTAGAATGGGAGTCTTATGACCTGCAATCAGAAAGGCAGGCAGCGGAAGTTTAAAGTCCTGCTATGGGGCAGGTGAAAGGAGGGTAGGAGTAGGTCAGAGAGATTCTCATTCCTGAGGCCTGCTCTTGAGGCCAGGCACATGCAACATCAATTATAACAAGGGCTATGGGTGTTAGGAACAAGGAACCGGGGAAGAAAAAGCAATGTTATGTATATAACCTTACACCACAATTGCGTTATATTTTATCAATTATTTTCAAAAGAAGTCCATTTGGTAGGTACAATTATATTTATGTTATATAGAAAGAAGCCGCAGCAGAGACTTAAGCAATTTACTCAAGGACACACAACTGTTAAATATTAAAGAAGTAAAACCAAGAAAAGTACTAGGATTAAAGTACTCATAAATGTAACCACAGTAATTATTCAATATTTATTTGCATCTTTTAGTATATTAACATTCTGGCCTCCTTCCTGTCCTGTTTAACTATCTCCTTAGCACTGGCCCCTCATATTTTTCTTCAACGTATGTATTTTAAAATATGTAATTATAAACTGTTGCAGGAAGTCAGGGACCCCAAACAGAGGGACCGGCTGAAGCCATGGCAGAAGAACGTGGATTGTGAAGATTTCATGGACATTTATTAGTTCCCCAAATTAATACTTTTATAATTTCTTATGCCTGTCTTTACTGCAATCTCTAAACATAAATTGTGAAGATTTCGTGGACACTTATCACTTCCCCAGTCAATACCCTTGTGATTTCCTAGGCCTGTCTTTACTTTAATCCCCTAATCCTGTCATCTCGTAAGCCTAGGAGGATGTATGTCACCTCAGGACCCTGTGATGATTGCGTTAACTGCACAAACTGTAGAGCATGTGTGTTTGAACAATATGAAATCTGGGCACCTTGAAAAAAGAACAGGATAACAGCAATGTTTAGGGAACAAGAGAGATAACCTTAAACTCTGACCGCTGGTGAGCCAGGCAGAACAGAGCCATATTTCTCTTCTTTCAAAAGCAAATGAGAGAAATATCGCTGAATTCTTTTTCTCAGCAAGGAACATCCCTGAGAAAGAGAATGCGCCCCTGAGGGTGGGGGTCTCTAAATGGCCCCCTTGGGTATGGCTGTCCTCTGTGGTCGAAACTGTAGGGATGAAATAAACCCCAGTCTCCCATAGCGCTCCCAGGCTTATTAGGAAAAGGAAATTCCCACCTAATAAATTTTGGTCAGACCGGTTGCTCTGAAACCCTGTCTCCTGATAAGATGTTATCAATGACAATGGTGCCCAAAACTTCATTAGCAATTTTAATTTCACCCCGGTCCTGTGGTCCTGTGATCTCGCCCTGCCTCCGTTTGCCTTGTGATATTCTATTACCTTGTGAAGTATGTGATCTCTGTGACCCACACCTATTCATACACTCCCTCCCCTTTTGAAAGTCCCTAATAAAAACTTGCTGGTTTTGTGGCTTGTGGGGCATCACGGAACCAACCAACATGTGATGTCTTTCCTGGATGCCCAGCTTTAAAATTTCTGTCTTTTGTACTCTGTCCCTTTATTTCTCAAACCAGCTGACACTTAGGGAAAATAGAAAAGAACCTACATGAAATATCGGGGGTGAACTTTGCCTGATATCTGGCTGAATTTCCCCTGATAATAAACCATCTTAAAAGTTGCATAATTATGTTTTGTTCTTAATGTGTAAAAATCTACTAAAATATTTTTCAAAGGTTTCTCGTGACGTTTATGTTAAACCCTTAGAGAGAAATTAATTGAGATTTGACTTTTTAAAAATATCTTCAAATCTCCCCTTAAATATTTTAATTATTTACATATAACATCTCTATCACACTGTTATAATAGCATATAGTATTTATTTTAATATATATGAATAATATACACAATATATTCAATATATGCAATAATTTTTATACATTATATGCTATACATTATCTATAGTGTATAATATATAAATATAAATATCAAATAAAATACATTTTAAACATTTGCATGCATACAATAACTGTTTTAACTATTATACCAGAAGATCCTACACATGTATGATATTGCCTATTTCATTCATTCTCACCAATGTTATTATTTTGTCTTTGACTTAATTTTAAATTTTATAAAAGGCAGGTTTGTTTGTTGATATGGTTTGGGTTTGTGTCCCCCAATGTTGGAGGGGGGGCCTGGTGGAAGGTGAGTGAATCATGGGCAGATTTACTGCTTGCTGTTCTTGTGATAGTGAGTGAGTTCTCACTAGGTCTGGTTGTTTAGAAGTGTGTAGCACCTCCCTCTTTGCTCTCTTCTTCCTGCTCTGGACATGTAAGATGTGCCTGCTTCCCCTTCACCTTCTGCCATGATTGTTAGTTTCCTGAGGCCTCCCCAGCCATGCTTCCTGTACAGCCTGTGGAACCGTGAGCCAATTAAACTTCTTTTCCTTATAAATTACCTAGTCTCAGGTAGTTCTTTATAGCAGTGTGAGAATGGACTAATATCTTTGTCTTAAAAATAGAAAGTATTCATAAGAGTAAAGTTAAAATAATATAAACAATAAAAGTTTAGATATTGGGAAAATGTGTCTGTGTATAGAAAATTAACATTACTATTTTTAGCATTTTAAATTTATTTTGTACAACATAAGCATGAAATCATACTTCATATACTGTTTTGTAAAATGAATTTCAAATATGTTATATTTTTTATTAAATTCAAAAGTCAAAGCCAAAATATAGAAGACATTTTTCATACATTACACAGATTAATGAAAAAATCCATTATTGAAGATTGAGGTATCTTGTCCCATTCTCCTCCTCTGTCAACCCATGTCATCATGTTGTATTCATCATATACATGAATGACTTTATAATCTTACTACAAATGCAATAGCCCCCTAAATTACATTTCCACTAAATTTACATCATCTCACTGATCATACTTTATCATCTTCCTGAAACAATGTTTGATATTGATGATGGTGGATGAAAACTTTTCCTCTTCTCTGTTCAAAATTAATAGTATAAAATACAAACTAAGATGGTGATTGAAATGCAATATTACATTGACTCAGGGCTCTAGTTTTAGCCCCATTGAAAAATGTGCTGAGGTGTTAGAACCACTCCAGATTTACCCAGTGATGGGCTGAGAAAGTGAAAAATATCTCCCTGCTTGTGATCAAGGAAAGTGGGTTAATCCTTTCCCTAGTTTATTTAAAGAATTGTACATTATTGGCATGACAAAACAATTATCAGGTTAAATGCAAGAGAAGCAATAGTCATAAGAAGTGATGATTAGTGAGCAATAACATATATTAGCCTATGCCAGCATACAAGTACAGATACATGAAAATTAGAATTTCAACATCAAATAATGCTCTCTGAATACAGCATTAAAAAATAAGTGGATGGCCAAAACTTTTCTCAACATCTTAAGTGATTGCCCACCTATTATTAAAAGTCACTTTATATTTCCTCTTGTGGGTAAAAATATTGTTGAAAGTTTCTCAATTGTGGCCAATGATTGTGTTTTAGAATGAGGGAAATGACAGTGTCTAGAATGTCATTCATTTGCACGTGACAGAATTAAGAAAAGAAAGATAAAAAATATTCTTGGACATATCATAAAACTCAAGTTAAGAAAAATGGTTGAATATCAAGGACAAATGTACATAGGAACCAGGTTGTTGTCTATATTTCTCTCTGTGACTTCCTCTGTCTTAGCTCTCATCCTTTCTTCTTTGTTGTTGTTGTTGTTGTTTTCTTTTTCTGGGTTCTGGAACTCTCAATTTTTCTAGTTTATAAAATAGCAAATTACACAAGTTATCCTCAAAGCTTTGTATCTGACAAGCCAAGATACCAAATTCTCTCTGAATCCGTTTGAAAAGTTCTTATTTAGAACTCTGATTTATTATAGTACAGCAGCCACCAATTGCAGATGGCAAAAACACTTTGCAAGTAAACTAACAGGAAATGAAGGGAGAAAAAGGGCAAAGTCAGGAAAAGTTGTATTGTGCAGATAATGTCATTGTTTGCATGAAAATCTGACATCAGATAATCAAAGTATAAACTCAGCCTTAACACTTATGCTCTTGTTGTCACAAATGACTTTTAACAATATTGAATGCATTGCAATGATTCCACATAAAAGGCAATTACATGCCTAAATAAGGAACACAATCCAAATGAATATCCAACTGTAGTAACTACAGGGGTTGAGGGGTGGCTACTATTGTGAGTTCACACACTTACTTTGGCTTTTGGTCTAATGGTTCTGCAAACTAAGGTCTTAATGACGATATTTTACCACCGTCAAGTACCATGTATGCGATAGGCGGTTAAAGGAAGATCGCTCATAACTTTCATATTTACCAAACTGGGAAATGAATAGCAGTTTTGCAATGGTCTTTATGCTAGAAAATATGTTAAATGGATAAGGGCTCTGATGTACATAAAAGAAGTAACAGTCAACAGACACAAATTATTGACCTCCTCCTATTATTTTTTTAATAAGCAAGATATTGAGAAGAATAGCTAATTGTAGCTTATTTTGCCTTAATTGACGAATTTCTGTTTATGTAGATTCTTGCATCTAGCCTTTCCCAAAAGGATAATATTAACAACTTCTTGTTCATAACACTTGGTGTTTTGTTGGACTCATAACCCTTTTAAACATCAGTTGACTTATTTATTTTACATTGTGGACTTTATTGACACTGAATTTCATAATTATTCCTTAAACATACTATTTGAATCCCCCAAATACTTTTTTTTTTTTTTTGAGACAGAATTTCGCTCTTGTTGCCCAGGCTGGAGTGCAGTGGCATGATCTTGGCTCGCTGCAACCTCCGCCTCCCAGGTTCAAGCTATTCTCCTGTCTCAGCCTCCCGAGTAGCTGGGATTACACGCTCCAGCCACCAAGCCCGGCTAATTTTTTGTATTTTTTTTTTTAGTGGAGACGGGGTTTCATCATGTTGGCCAGACTGGTCTAGAAATCCCGACTTCAGGTGATCCACCCGCCTCGGCCTCCCAAACTGCTGGGATTACAGGCATGAGCAACTGCACCCAGCCGAATTCCCCAAATTCTTAAAATCACTATCTAAAGCCGAGGTATATGCTTTAAGCTTTTATTGTTAGTGGAAAATGTTGATTTTATTTTCATCTTATCAAGCCATAAAAAATTGCTTCAAAGGGCATGGATCTAAACAACTTTAAAAGATATGTTTATCTGGTATGACTAATATTCTTTGTGAAATGTCATCACAAAGATCAATATGCATTCTAATCTAACATTGTTTAATCATAGTGGAAAAATACATAAGGACTGGTCAGGGTGAGATGTAGCACACCTCAGAAGTAGTTTTCAGATCACATTGTTCCCACTCCTGAGGCTCCCCTGAGATATCTTAATTCCAATGCATAGATGTCCATAATTTCCTAGCAAGCATTGTAATTTCAGGTATAAATGCTGTGTAGCAGTGTTTCATCATGTTTCGTGATTATCTGAGTCTTTTTTTTAGATCAGTGATTCTATCTAAAAGTCTTCCCACCTAACAAAATCACTGATTGTTTGCTTTGACTATTTTAAAGCAAGGCATCGAGGACGGGTGTTTCTCTTCTGTGAAGGCTTCTTAAAGGCTAAAATTTCCAGAAAAGAGGGTCTAAATAAGTAATACCATACAAGCTCATTCTGTTTTGTTTTGTTTTGTTTTTGTTTTTGTTTTTGTTTTTGTTTTTGTTTTTGATATGGAGTCTCGCTTTGTCGCCAGGCTGGAGTGTAGTGGTGCGATCTCGGCTCACTGCAACCTCTGCCTCCTAGGTTCAAGCAATTATCTTGCCACAGCCTCCTGAGTAGCTGGGATTACAGGCACATGCCACCACACCCAGCTAATTTTTGTATTTTTAGTAGAGATGGGGTTTCACTATGTTGGCCAGGATGGTCTTGATCTCCTGACCTTGTGATCTGCCCACCTTCACCTCCCAAAGTGCTAGGATTACAGGCGTGAGCCAACGCACCCAGCAATATTGTATTTTTTTAATTAAAAAGAGTACAAGATGTTGTATTAATCAAGGTTTGATAAAGAAACAGAACCAATAGAATATATATGTGTATTTATGTATGTGTGTATATGTATATGTGTATATATCAATATATGGATATATACACAGAAAGAGGGATCTATTGTAAGGAACTAGTTCTCCCAGTTGCACAGGCTGGCTAGTCCAGCATCTGCAGAGAATAGCAGCAGACTGGAGATCCCAGGGAAGAGTTGGTGTTGCAGCTCCAGTCTCCAGAAGGTTGACTGTAGGGAGATTTTTCACTTCCTCAGGGGATTTCTGTCTTTTTTTTCTCTTAAATCTTTTGACTAATTGGTTGAGGCCCACCTCTATTATGAAGAATAATCTGCTTTATTCTGAGTCTACTGATTTAAATATTAGTCTTCTCTAAAAAATAACTTCACTAACAACATTTAGACTAATGCTTGATTGAATATTCTGATATAGCCTAGCCACATTGATACATAAAATTATAGTAGCATAAATTTCCTAAGTAATATAAATCTCAAATATTTCGTCTCAGAATCTCAAAACACTTGATGATAGACACCCAAAGCGTCTATGAAATTTGTATTGCTACCATGTATTTATAGTTGCTGAAAATGAGGAAAAAGAATCTATTCTGGTTTTTTAGGTGTAAAACTTAAAACGAATCAAAATCACTGTGACTAAATTTACTGGCTAAGTTATACCTGCAAACGGAAAGAAAATGAAAAGAAACAGTTGTGTTCCAGGTACTTTGTCTTCCATAGTCTGTTACCAAAAAGATTTTTAAGAGCTTCAGAAATCTGTTCTAGTATAAAAATAAAGTCAAAAGGCTTCTGTAAAATAACCATTAAAAGTGTACAGAAGAAATCTGTAAATTCTTAATATTAAAGGGAACCTCACCAAACTCATAGTATAGAAAAATGCCCATCTTACTGGGTCTTATTATTGGAAGAAGCCGGATTCTCTTCGACTCAATACAATATAACTGCTCTGAGCATATCCCCCAATTGCACAAGAACACCCAGAAATAATAGCTGATTCTGTCATTTCTGAGCAAGACAGTCTTGAGAACCCCTCAACATCCATTTAGGGTTGTTACTCAATTTTACCTCCCAGTAATGCCTGCCATAATTACATTTCTTAGAATCTGGACAGCAGAGCAGAAAAAAAGCTTTCTTGTTTTATAATAAAGATTGTGTTTTTTCTTTCCATATTACATAATTTTTCTATACTCAAAGATGTTAAGGTGAGGATGTGCTGTTTCAAGATACATAATCACATCTGCTTGAAATAGCTTAATAATTTCATCCAACCCAGAATATTGTAGAAGACAGAATTCATATTTTTTTAATCAAAATGAAAATAAATTAGGATATTTTGAGTTTCTATCATTCAGGTGAATATTTGTAACTTCAGTAATTCCAGTTCAGAGTGCACATATGTGCTTTCTACCTCCCTCCCTAGATATTTTAATGTGAATACATGATCTGAGAATTGTGTAAGGTTTTTAAGTTTTTATAATTTCCATCCCTTCATCTTGCATCTGCCTAATAATAGTCTCTTGATCACTCAGTAAAAACAATTTAAGTTGCTCAGATTCAGAATGTATTTCTTCTCTCCTACATTTTTTTTCAGCTCCATTGATTTGTTGGCTTACAAATTTATCACTGTTTCAATTCCTTCCACACTATTCTTCAAATTCAATGCTACATTTAAGAATTTTCCTGTGGTGGAGGCAGCATTCTTAATGGGGCAAATGTAATGCTTCCATTGTTTTGAGGAGAAATTGCACTGTATTTACAGAACCTCTAGGTTCTTTTCACAGAGAAAAGCCAGAAATTGATTATATTTATTATACCTGGTATTCTATCCTGTGTTTTCTTGTTGTTTTTTCTCATCTGTAGTATCTTATCAATTTCAGTCAAATTACCAAGCTAGAGATTTTGCCTGAAGTTTTCGTCTGGGCGGTAAAAATGGCAGACAGACTTGAAAAAGGTATTATCTAGAACTTTCCACGATATATTGATGCAGGAGCCACACAGATTGTGCCCATAGTTGAGTCTTTCAAGTAATCCACAAGGGATTACTTGGGCCATTGAGTCTTTCAAGTAATCCAGAAGAATGTCCAGCTAAACTCCTCTTGGAGGTTTGCAAGGGCTGTCACAAATTCCACTAAGCCATGACCAAATGGGGTGGGCTAGAGAAAGCAAGGCCTCCATCTCTAGAGCTCAAGGCTAAGTGAAAATGGATATCTCCCCGGAAACCTCAAAGACTGACTGGCTGTAGGTTTCACTGGTCCTACCAAAGTCTCATTTAGGCCTCTGCCTCTTAGCTCCAGAAGCAGCTTGCATGTCGATCACATATCAGCCCACCTAAAGTTAAGTACGATGACTTTCTTCAAGAAAGTAGCCAGAGGTCCAAGAAAGTAATCATTTCTTTACAATATAGACATCTAAATACACTAACTTTATCTGGTAATGGGACAAACTGATTGCCTGGAGTAAATGGCTCAGAGACTTTGGCCTGAGGTTGTGCAGAAGCCTCTGAGTTATGTTCAGCCCAGGACTGGTGAAACCCCAACACGCCCCTGAGGATGGGTTTCTGCAAAAACGGTGCACACACAGTCCACACCATGATTGAGGATTACCCTGGAAGTAGCCTCTATAGTCTTTTGAAAATCATGCACACACACACACAAGCACACACACACACTACCCACACACACACACTAACACGATACAACTAAAACATGTAAACCTGAAAATAAATTCAGCCACAATCTTCAGAGGAAGAAGTTTGCCACCTTTGCTTTTATCCTTGACCCACTTTAGTCTATTGCCAAAAGTAAACCAGATTAATTGCATTAAAACATGTCATGTTACTCTTCCAAGCCCATGATATTTAGTGTGGCCATTGGTCCAGCAACACGTTCTGGAGACAGATTTATGCCTACCGAATCAGAAATTCTGGAGAGAGAGCTCTGCAATATTTTTGACTGTCCTCTCAGGTAATTTTAATGCAACTAAATGTTAACAGCCATTGCTCTCCACAAAATATTGCATTGGGTCCTCATAAAGTAAATACCCTTACAATTCTCTAGAACTTAATGATATTTTTTCTTCTCATACTTTTTCTCTGCTTGCTAACCTCTCTAGATGCACTGCTTTCTTGGCTGTTTGTTCCTTAAATAAACCACTTTCCATAACATGTACTTACACTGTACTTTTTCTTTCCATTGCCTAATGTTTTCCCCAGAGATCCATATTCTTCAGAAAACCACCTCTTGACTTCAATGCCACCCTTCCAGTGAGTCTCTTTGTACCTCAGGCCTAAAATTTACACCGTCCCACTGAGCATCTCTATCTTCACTCCTTGTTGAAGATTCTCCTTAATACTCATCACTACTTACCGTGCTCTATTTTCATTTAATTTTCCTAGTAATTGTCTACTCCCTAGAATAGGTCCTGAGGTCTGAAATCCTTGAAAAACAGATTTGTATTTGTTGTTTTTCATTGTTTGGCTCACTTTTGAGGTCCAAGAATATCTAGTAATGGCATGGCAATGCATGATAAATTGGTGTGTCATGACTGAAGATAACATTTTACATAGATTAAAAATATATTCTAAAAATTAATATGTCAGATATTTATTTTATAGTACAATCAGATGTTCTGTCTTTCAAAATATATTTGCTGTATCTATAGTTTACATTTTAAAAATGCACACTTGCTCTTAAATGTAGGTTTTCTACTTGGGAGTTTAGAATGGATATTACATAATTGTGTTTTATACATCACCGAAATATTGCATATGAAATTCCTTATAGTTATAACAAATTTATGTGTTTTAGTTTTCATTTTCCCTGTTATATTTTCATTTTTTCATCCTACAGTGAAAAATCAATACTTTACGAATTTTTTTCTCATTTTTTTCAGAAATTCTTAAGGAATATTGGAATTATAACATATTTTCTCATTTTATATATTTAAAAGTATGTAGAACATGTCCCATATTAGAGAAAAATGTATTATTTCAGTGAACAAAGTGAACAATTATGTCAGCTAAGATGTTATTCACAAAGAGAGTAAATTCTTCTCAACTTTTTTATAAAAATTATTTTTGTTCAAAGGTTAGTTTTTACCCCTTAAGTTTATAAACTATCTTTTATATGTGACTTACTCTGAAATTGCTTTAACATTGTATATTAGAAACTACAAAGCATGTTAATGGCTACTCCCTAAAGAATTATTTTTAGGACTCTACCTAATTTTACTAGTCCTGAAATAGAACAGTCTCTTTGGACAAGTAAAAACCACATGAACTTGGACTGAGAAATTTGGATTTTAATGAATTTGCTGCCCATGCCTTTAACGAAGTCATTTAATCTCACTGGGCTTCTGATTCCTCATCTACAAACTTAACGTTTTGGTTTCTAGACTTCAGTAGTTTGTTCTAATTTTATCTTCTTAAAAATTGCTACTTGTTTTAGACTTAAATTTGCCTTTTTCCCCCCAAATAGATTTCTGTGCAAAGTATAGATTTCAAGCTTCTTCATTTCATTCTTTTGGCACCTGAAATGTTTATTACCAGGGATTATGAACAAAAGAGCTTCCCGAAGAGTTTATGTTGGCTTTTTTTATTGGTCATCCTGTACACTAAATATGTATCTATCACATTAGGCTTATTAATATTTTTTCTAATTCTCAGTATTTATCCATTTTCAGAAAGTTTATTCTGACCAGATAGGGAAATGTATGTTAATATATTTTCTGTTTTAAAGTTTGGATTCAAATGGTTTTGTAGTTCAAACTTTGCAGTTCATTATGGGACCTCTATTAGGTTCAGTAATGATAGCATACTTGCTGTATTTCTTCTAGGTTTTTTGTTCTTTTTTTTCAGTTATATGAAATAAATTTTGCAGCAAAACTCGTTTTTGCTAATTACTTTTTTTTCAAGGGTCATCTTTTTTCTTTTATTATTATTCTTGGAAAAAGTTGAGGGAAGGATGAATAAAGAGGTGGATGGTCAGTTTCATCCATGAAAATAATATTATATCTGCAGACGCTAAATAACGTAAAAACAACAGTGGCACAAGAACATATAGTCATATGAAATCACATTGCTCCAAACTTTTTAGGAGACACAAACATTTTTATAGAAAATCTGGAGGATGAGAAAAACATTTTATTTGTTTGCTTGTTAAGAAAATGCTTTGTGTGACATACAATTTTAACTATAAGTGATTTTCTTTATAGGAAATGCTAAATGAAAAGGATAGGTGTTTTATGTAGTTCTGAAGCCCTGAGGTTTCAGTTATATAAACAAGGATTGAGCAAAAGAATATATTAAGAACATATAAATTTTATTTATTTATCAGAATTATATGGTGCCTTTTCTTTTGCCACGTCAATAAATATATTGCTTACTTCCAGCATTAAGGCCAACTTTCCTTTGGAGGGACCATAGAATTTCTCCAAGTGCTGCTATTAGTTACTATTGCTAGTTCCTTTTTGATCACCTCTGTAGATATTATCTGTCTGCAGTTCTTTACTTATCAAAGTAAGCCTTGCCATTTTATCAACTGTAGGTATGTCTGAGGTATAAAAGAAAAAAAAAACTCAGAATATACAATATAATACTTTCGTTCCTCATCTTTTGAATTTATTCAGAACTGTTTCACCTGTAATAGCAACTGTCATAATGGTTCCCATGTGACTAATTATTTTCCTATTGCAAAAATATTAATTTTCATAGAAATTCTATTTAACAAATGAAAATTCTTACCAATAAAACCCATATCTAAATGGTCTGATTTTGAAACATATTTTTCGGCAATGTACTTATATTTGTGAACTGCCTATTTTTTTACTGCTTAAATAATTATGTGCTAAACTTTTTCTTAAATAATTATGTGGTAAACTTGATGTGTTTATGACTCAAACTTTCTGACAAGATTTTTTTATCATCAACAAAGAAATGGCAGATGAAATAGCTACTTTAAACATATGCATACAATTTTTAATACAATCAATAGTGGTGGTAATGAATAAGCTAACTTCTTAATCCCAAAAGAGTTTATTTTAACATTTAGTCTGTATTTTGTGTTTACTTAGAATTAATTTTTAAAATGCAATCGATTTCTTTTTCTAAGAATAAGCCTTCTTATCCTACCTATAGGTACAATTACAAGACCTAAACTAATCCATTATGGTTCTTCTCAAGAGTGCTGTAGGTGGTGACTATTGAGGAATAGACAGAGATTGAGGATAACATGAAGGAGAAAAGTAATGAAAGTGATATAAACTAAACTGAGTACCTAGAGGCACTCACAGACCACTAAATGAGGATAATTATCAATTTATGAGAGATAATGACTAATAAATGAGGGGTATGATTAACTTAATGTACCTGAATTATCAAAGATTTAAAGAGAAAAAAGGAGACTACAAGAAGGACATTTTAGTTTTGGTGATCAAAGAAGTTCATGGGAGGAAGTGATGTAGACCAATAAGGAGATAAATGAAAGATGGGAATGTGAGTAAAGATTGGGCTGCTGGGGAGAGAATTCCAGAAAGAGAAAGGAGAAAGCACATTTTTTCCTAAGTTGGGAAGGATTCTGATTATGCATGACATTGAGTTTTTTTTTTTTTTTAAGCATGGAAGGGTGCATAGTCTCTTTTTAAATCTTTCATTCCTTTCTTGTGCTTTTCTTTCTGTTCTTTTTTTTAATATTGTTATTTCTTTTACTCTTTAACAAGCATTTGAGGGTTTATTTTTCTGAGCACATACTTAACTATGTAACATGAGTTTTATTGTATAGTACCCTTTTTACTGTTCTCATCTATAAAATGGAGATAAAAATAGCACACATTGGGCAGAGCACGGTCGCTTACGCCTGTAATCCCAACACTTTAGGAGGTCGAGGCAGGTGGATCACCTAAGATCAGGAGTTCAAGACCAGCCTGGCCAACATGGCGAAACCCCTTCTCTACCCAAAATACAAAAAAAATAGCCGGGCATGGTGGTGGGCGCCTGTAATCCCAGCTACTCAGTAGTGAGACAGGAGAATTGCGTGAACCCGGGAGGCGGAGATTGCAGTGAGCTGAGTTCGTGACATTGCACTCTAGTCTGGGTAACAGAGTGAGATTCCATCTCAAAAAAAATAAATAAATAGCACACTTTTTCTAGGGTTGTTGTGAGGATTGAATGAGTTAATGAATATAAAGGGCTAAAAAGACAGACAGCATTTGATATGGTTTGGCTGTGTCCCCACCCAAATCTCACCTTGAATTGTAGCTCCCATAAACCCCACATGGGAGGTACCAGGTAGGAGGTAACTGAATCATGGGGGTGGGTTATTACTGTGCTGTTCTTGTGATAGCAAATAAGTCTCATGAGATCTGGTCCTTTTATAAAGAGCAGTTCCCCTGCACATGCTTTCTTTGCCTGCTGCCATGTAAGATGTGTCTTTGCCTGTCCTTTGCCTTCTGCCATGATTGTGAGGCCTCTTCAGCTATGTGGAATTCTGAGTCTATTAAACCTCTTTTTCTTTATAATTTACCCAGTCTGGTGTATTTCTTCGTAGCAGTATGAAAATTGACTAATACAGCAATATCAAAATTGTTCACTGTATGTTAGCTACTTCCCCTTTCCTCTTTCTCTTCATTATTCTTAATAATATCCATGTTTCATTATGCATTATTTGTGCACTATTTTGCATTATTTGGTTTCACTTAGTGCACATTGACAGGTCATGTTCTTACATTTACATTTTGTAATTTTTGAAATCTAGATAGTATTTTTACTCCACTATAACATCCATTTAAAAATTAGAACACATATATTTCTTTATACTAGCACTTCACTCACACTATACTATTTCTTTTGTCACCTCCAACTACACTATCCATTTTAGCTTTATTCATATTCATAAAAATTATATTCAGTTCCATAACAGAAGCCATTTAGCATTATCCCTATAGTTAAATACTTTTTATTGCCATGTAAGCAATTATCCCAAAGCTTCATGGTGTAAACTTGCAAACGTTTGCTACTTGTCCATTTCTGTGGACCAAGATTCCAAATGTTGCTTAGCTGAGTGCCTCTGGTTCCTGATCTTTCATAAGCTACAGGCTGGAATGCAGTTGTTGACAGGATTCCACACCTGATGGTAGGCAGAAGCCCTGAGTTTCTCACGGACTCAGGGCCTCCCCACTTACGCATCTCCTTACTGCAGCTCACATAATGACAGCTGGCTTATTTCAGAGCAAGCAAGGGAGAAACAGGACACAAGAATAAAGACATGGTCTTTTTGCAGTCTATACTTGAAATTGTCTTCTGTCATACTCTTTTCATGAAAAGGAAACATCTAAATGTAGCCCACATTCAAAGGGAAGGAAATATTCAAGGGTGTTAAGTACCAGGAGGCAGGGACCATTAGGAGGCCTCTTACCAGCTGCCTATCCTATTGCAAGTGGGTACAGCACTCAGCGCTTGATCTTTTGTCACCACCGAAACAGCAAGTGTGCATTATTTATTTTGACTTTTCTTATATTTGTTCCAAGTTTTCACCATCAAATAGGTCTTCCTATTTTGAAACTTGAGATATGAATTTTATATTTTAGGATTTGTGCTTTATTGTTACATTTTGCCTCACCTCCTGACCAAAAAAAAAAAAATCCTAGGTCGGGTAATTCTGGAATCTTTGCATAGTCTGAAGATATCATACCACTCTTTTATGAATCTTGATGCTGAGAAAAATTCTATCTCAAGTTAACCTTATTTTTTCATTTTATATGGTCTTCTTTATAGACATAGGCCATCTGTATGCTAAAGAAATGGAAGTAGGGCAATGATCTAGGTCAGATAGAAATTTCAAGTTACTTAGAATATCTTATAACAGTTTCTTTACAAGTCAGTTTTGACTTTTACCCTGAGGGTATATTAATGATAGTAAACATGGACTGAGTAATTATTAAGAGGCTCAGATATTGAGCTCAGTAACTAATCGACATTATTTTAATTGCCATGAAAATTCTATATGAGAGATACTTTTTTCCTCCAATTCTACAACTGATAAAAAAAAGGACCAAGAATGTATTATACAGAATTATTTAAACTAGACATGCTAGAGCATCCAAAATATTTTAGAAATATGATGTGACCCATTTACTCTCTATTTGATAACAACTCTAGAGGTGTCTATAGCAGTACAATCAAACATATTGAGAAATATATGAATAAAAATATTAGCATGTCTGTATGAAACATTTGGATATGCATAGGTAACAGAGTTAATAAAATTTTAAATTTCCTTTTAAATGACACCAAGTAAGTTTGTACCAAACCTTTACAATCTTTGATATGTTAAAGCTACTGAATTTTGGAATTGCAGAGAGGGGGATGTTAGCATGTGAATTTAGAGACCTGTGTGCAAAGGCTAGCAGCTGGCCAGTGGTTTCCGGGGGATTTTAAGCCAAGTAGCCTAACTTCAAGATCCACATTTTTAAGTGTTCCATATCAGTGGCTTGGACAAGTCTGGCGACACTCAATTTGGAGGTTTTTCTTCCACTTAGAATTCCTCTCACCTGGAATCAAATACTGCTTCTGAGACTTACTAAGTGTTTGTGACTTTGAGCAATTTGCTAACTCTTTTCGATAACCCCGGGTGATGAAATGTGGTACTTGCTACTGTGGCCACCCCAGATATCCTTCAATACTAATTGTGCTACTTTAAGACATTGTTTAACCAAGTCCCCAAAGCTCTTATCTCAGGAGTCAAGTGGTCTGAATCCTAAGATAACACTTAAAACTGATGATTCATTACTACCAACTTCATTGCTAATTTCCTTGCTAAAATAAAAGCTTTCATAATGACTTCTACTACACATGGATTCAACTCACTTACCTTTTAAAAGACTAGTATGGTTTTGTTGTGTCCCCACCCAAATCTTATCTTGAATGTAGTTCTCATACTTCCCACGTCATGGGAGGGACCTGGTGGGAGGTAATTGAATCATAGGGCGAGGGCGATTGCCCTCATGCTATTCTCATGATAGTAAGTTCTCACGAGATCCGATGATTTTATAAGGGGTTTTCCCTTTCATTCAGTTCTCATTTTTCTCTTTCCTGCTGCCCTGTGAAGAAGAACATGCTTGCTTCCCCTTCTGCCATAATTGTAAGTTTCCTGAGGCTTCCTCAGCCATGCTGAACTGTGAGTCAATTAGACCTCTTTCCTTTATAGATTACCCAGTCTCTGGTGTGTTTTTATTAGCAGTGTGAGAACAGACTAATACAAAGACGGTCATGTGATAGTCCCAGTTTCTGAGAACAGTTTTAATAACAGAAAACTGAGTAGTAAATTTAAGAAGTATTATTAAGATGTGTGTAATTAAATATGGTTGCAGAAACAAGTTCTAAACAAGTCCTACACTTAAAATACTAATTTCATGCAGTAATGTTTATATTCATTTTTTCTCTTGCTTTTTAAATTTAGTGATATTTAAAATATAAGAATAATTTGAGCACTACGCCACAAGGAATGTTTAATGTCACATTTGATGTATGTAGTATTATGAATTCATTATGTTTGTTGATAAAGGTCAGGGAAACTATGTGACTTTGCTCATCCCTTCCACTTTCACTGAGTACATCACTCTTCTGAAACTGGTGTGTAACTTTTCTATTCATAGTTCTGTAGTTTTACTTCACACATACAAGTGTATTACAGCATTGTTTGTAAAATTTTGTAAACAACCTAAATGTTTATCAATATGGGAATGGATATCTAAATTTAAAAATTATGCATATAATTATTAATAAGTATTTTTAAAATATATCTGATTGTATTGTTTACCCTTTAAAAATTCATGAGTAACAATATAGGATAAAGGCTTGCCAGGTTTGCTGATAATGTTATCTGCCTTATCAAATTTGATTAGAAATTTTTTAAAGCCAAGGAGTTTCCTGTAATTTATTCAGAAAGTATTCTTCACAATGACCGTTAACTAAAACTGCAAAAATTACGTTGCTAACAGAAGAAGTGCAATTGGAAAACACTGACTGTAATCCAACTATGCCATAGGGTAACAATATTTAATTTGATTTGCCTTCTCCAGCAACGTTAATTATGCTGACGTGGAAATATGGGAGCAGTTTTATCAACTAGATTTATATTTGGCTTAGCAGAGGTGGAAGTCATGTAATGATGTCCATCCAGATGACTCGAGGGTTAAAGTTTAAGTATATCTGGTTAAATAATTTGATCTACTGCTAAATATTATCCATAGATTTTACAGTTTTCTGGTTTGGGTTGTGAGATTTCAGAGAAGTATAGATGTAAAATAAAAATTAAACATTTTCAATACTTTTTTTATTTACTTGTGCTTTTCCTAATTAATTGAGGAAGAAAATGTGTAGGACTCATGCTATCAAATTTTAATTAAAAAGGAAAAAGAACAAATTAGTATTCATGAGCCTAGAGAAATCCTTAATATTTTTAATCAGTGAATGCCTATACCACAGAGAAAATCATGCTGATTGATATACATAGAAACATACTAATTGCAGATTTCAAATAAATGTTCTTTAAATCTTCATGAATAAAAAAAGTATGTTGTGTTTTCAGAATCAGCTATTATTTTTAACAACATCCAGTAACAGGTAAAATTATAATATCATATTATTAGGTTGTATTTATATAAAGAAAGTGTCTCTTTACTTCCAGTTTCCCAGGTTGCTACACATTTTCATTCATCATCTACTAAGAGGACCTTTACTGGGTTGCTAATTATTTGGGTTGCCCTTATTGTGGCTAAGATTGGGCACTAGACCTAGGTGGTCCGAATCTAAAATGCAGCCAGATTTTTGTCTAAGCAATTGCAGTTTTTATTGCTTGATTGAAACTAATTCTTGCTTTCTTCTTTCTTTCATGATGTAATCTAGAAGCATTGAAAGAATTTGCTAGTTGGAAGTGGAACAAGAAATATTGCTTGAAAAATGTTAAACTGGAGCACTTAGTTAAAATATTCCAGTTTGTTGTCATACAGTTTTGCTTTCCATTGGCATACGTTTAAACGTCTATAGAGTGGGCTGTATAATTTTATATGGGTTCTGTTCTCATATCCTTATAATATTTCTTCTTCTCAGCCAGCATACGAGATTAATTCCTTTTGTAACTAATACCACTTATCAAGTAGCCTCTGTTTTCTCTGCTTAAAAAAATGGGTTTTAAGGAATACATTCATAAACAGGGAAAAAATTCAAACCATGTGTAGGTCAGAAAGTAACCATCCTTCTACTTTCCAAGTCCATGAGTTCAGCTGTCTTAATTTAGATTCCACAAATAAGTGAGATCATGCAATGTTCGTTTTTCTGTGCCTGGCTTATTTCACTTAACATAATGATTCCAGTTCTTGCCATGTTGTTTCACATGACTAGATCTCACTCTTTTTTATGACCAAATAGTACTCCACTGTGTATATGTACCATATTTTATCCATTCATCTGTTGAGGAACAATTAGGTTGCCTCCAAATCTTAGTTATTATAAACAGTGCTGCAGCAAACATAGGAGTGCAGGTATTTCTTTGAGATTCTGATTCCCTTTCTTTTGAGTATATACCTAGCAGTGGGATTGCTGGATCATATGTACCTCTATTTTTAGTTTTTTGTTTATTTTTTGTTTATTGTTTATTTTTAGTTTATTTTAGTTTTTTGAAGAGTCTCCAAAAGTGTTCTCCATAGTAGTTGTATTAACTTACATTTCCACCAACAGTGTAGTGGGATTCACTTTTCTCCACATCTTCACCAGCCTTTGTTATTACCCACCTTTTGAATATAAGCCATTTTAACTGGGGTGAGATGATATATCATTGTATTTTTGATTTGCATTTCTCTAATGATCTGTGATATTCATCACCTTTTCATATATCTGTTTGCCATTTGTATGTCTTCTTTTCAGAGATGTCTATTGAAATCTTTTGCCCATTTTTGACCAGATTATCAGATTTTTTCCTACAGAGTTGTTTGAGCTCCTTATATAATCTGGTGATAAATTCATTGTTGAAGTGGTATTTTGCATATTTTCTTCCATTTTATGTGTTGTCTCTTCACTTTGTTGATTGTATTCTTTACTGTGAAGAAGTCTTTTAATTTGATGTGATCCCATTTGTCCATTTTTGCTTCAGTTGCCTGTGACTGTGGTGTATTGCTCAAGAAATCTTTGCCCAGAACAATTTTCTGGAAAATTTACCCAATGTTTTCCTCCAGTAGTTTCATAGTTTGAGGCCTTAGGTTTAAGTATTTAATGCATTTTAATTTCATTTTGTATATGATGAGAGATAGAGATCTAGTTTCATTTTTCTGCATATGGATAACCAGTTTACCCAGCACATTTATTGAAGAGACTGTCTTTTCCCCACTGTATATTCTTGGCACCTTTATCAAAAACGAGTTCACTGAGTGGTGTGTGGATTAGTTTCCAGGTTCTGTATTCTCTTCCGTTGGTCTATGTGTCTGTTGATATGCCACTACCATGCTATTTCGGTTATTATAGCTCTGTAGTAGAATTCGAGGTCAGGTAATGTGATTCTTCTAGTTTGGTCCTTTTTGCTTAGGATACCTTTGGCTGTTCTGGGTCTTTTGTGGTTTCATGTAAATTTTAAGATTGTTTTTTCTATTTCTGTGAAGAATGTCATTAGTATTTTGATAAGGATTGCATTGAATCTGTAGATTGCTTTGGGTAGTAGGGACATTTTAACAATATTGATTCTTTCAATCTATAAACATGGAATAACTTTTTATTTTTGTGTGTCCTCTTCAATTTATTTCATTAGTCTTTTATAGCTTTCATTATAGAGATCTTTCATTTCTTTGCTTGATTCCTAAGTATTTAATTTTATGTGTGGCTATTATAAATGGGATTACTTTCATATTTCTTTTTCACGTTGTTCATTGTTGGCATACAAAAATGCTACAGATTCTCATATGTTGATTTTGTATCTTGCAAATTTATTTATTTATTTTTATTTTTTTTTATTTTTATTTTTTTGAGACAGAGTTTGGCTCTGTCACCCAGGCTAGAGCGCAGTGGTGCAATCTTGGCTCACTGCAAGCTCCGCCTCCTGGGTTCATGCCATTCTCCTGCCTCAGCCTCCCGAGTAGCTGGGACTACAGGTGCCCACCACCACGCCCAGCTAATTTTTTGTATTTTTAGTAGAGACGGGGTTTCACCGTGTTAGCCAGGATGGTCTCGATCTCCTGACCTCGTGATCCACCCTTCTGGGTCTCCCAAAGTGCTGGGATTACAGGCGTGAGTCACTGCGCCTGGCCCCTGGCAAATTTATTTAATTGTTTATCTGTTCCAATAGTTTTCTTGTGGAGTCTTCCAAATATAAGATTACATCATCTGCAAACAAGGATAATTTGACTTAATTCCTTCCTATTTGGATGCCTTTCATATACTTCTCTTGTCTGATTGCTATAGCTAGGACTTCCAGTTCTATGTTGAACAACAGTGGGAATAGTGGGCATCCTTATCATGTTCCAGATCTTAGAGAAAAGGCTTTCTGTTTTTCCCCATTCAGTATGATACTAGCTGTGGGTATGTTGTATATGGCTTTTATTATGTTGAGGTATGCTCCTTTTATATATTGTTTTTGAATGGATTTTATCATAAACAATGTTGAATTGTATCAAATGCTTTTTTAGCATCAATTGAAATGATCAGCCAGCCGCAGTGGCTAACGCCTGTAATCCTAGCACTTTGGGAGGCTGAGGCCAGCGGATCACGAGGCCAGGAGATCAAGACCAACCTGGCTAACACAGTGAAACCCCGTCTCTACTAAAAATACAAAAAACTAGCTGGGCGTGGTGGGGGGTGTCTGTAGTCCCAGCTACAGGGGAGGCTGAGGCAGGAGAATGGCGTGAACCTGGGAGGCGGAGCTTGCAGTGAGCCGAAATTGCACCATTGCCCTCCAGCCTGGGCGACAGAGTGAGACTCCGCCTCAAAAAATAAATAAAGAAAGAAAATAAATGATAATATGGTTTTTGTACTTCATTCTGTTGCTATGATGTAGCACATTTATTTTCATATGTCAAACAATCTCTGCATCCCAGTGGTAAATCCCACTTGGTCAGGATAAATAATCTTTCCAATGTATTGTTGAATTCAGTTTGCTAGTATTTTTTTATTTTGAAATATCTTTGGTTTTGGTATCAGAGTAATACTGGCCTCATAGAATGAGTTTGGAAGTATCCCATCCTCCTCTGTTGTTTGGAATGGTTTCAGTAGAACTGGTACTAGTTTTTCTTTAAATGTTTGGTAGAATTCAGCAATGAAGCCATCAAGTCCCAGGGTTTTTTTGTTTGGTTTTGTTTTGTTTGTTTTTTTACTGGGAGACTTTTCTTACTGATTTTCTCTTTTTTGCTTTTATTTCCTACTTGAAAGTATATATGTGCTTATCTTTATTCCCAATCTCATAATCTTTTGCCTTTAATTTTAATGCTTTTTCTACCTTCTTCACACGGATTCTGAGATTGTTGAATTTTAAGATTCCTTTTTTTAAATGCATATATTTAAAGTTATAAGTTTCCTTTCAAGTAGAAATTTATTTGCACCCCCATAAGTTTAATGTGTTATATTTTATTAATATTAATTTCAAGCTGTTTCTAATTTTTACTGTAGTTTTTTCCAGACAATATAATTTGGTTGTTTCGTTTCTAAATATTTGTGCTTTTTTCTGTTATTACTTTTATTGTATTAATTTGTAACTTGTCAAAGCACTTTTTGTATAAATTCTTTTTTATTATTAATTTATAAACTTTATTTTTAGAGAACTTTTAGGTTGACAGTAAAATTTAATGAAAAATACAGAGTTCCCATGAACCCCACACTATAAAAATGCACAGCCTCTTCCACTATGGACAAACCTCAACCAGAGTAGTACACTTGTTAAAATTATGAACCTACATTGACACATCATTATCAACTAAGTCCATAGTTTACATTAGGGTTGTACCACAGTTTAATTATTCATTCACCTGTTGAAAGACATCTTGGTTGCTGAGGCAAATGTCCATGTGGAGGCTTCTGTGTGGATACAAGCTTTCAGTTCATTTGGCTAAATATTAAGGATCATGATTTCTGGATAATATGGTTAGAATATGTTTAGTTGTGGGAATGTACCACTTTGCATTTCCACAAGCAATCAATGAAAGTTTCTGTCATTCCACATCTTCAGTAGCATTTGACACTATCTCTGTTTCAGGTTACGGCAATTCTAATACATGCATAGTGGTATCTTATTGCTGTTTTAATTTCCAATTTCCTAATAATATATGACATTAAGTTTTTTTATAAACTTACTTGCAATCTGTGTATCTTTTTTAATGGAGTGTCTGTTGAGCTCTTTTGTTTATTTTTAATCAAGTTGTTCATTTTCTTTTTATTTTTTCTGGTTTTACTGAGATATAAAACTAAAAATTGTGTGTGTGTATATATATGTATATAATGTATCATGTGATGTTTTGATGTATAAAAACATTATGAAATGACTACCATAATCAAGCTACTTAACATATTCATCATCTCAGTAGTTATATTTTTTTGCATTGTGGGGGAGAAAGAGAACATTAACAACCTACTGCATTAGTGAGTTTCAAATTACAATACAGTATTATTAACTCTATTTCCCATGCAATACATTAGATTCTCAGAACATATACATCCTGCTTAAATAAAACTTTTTATCCTTCATCCAGAATCTCCCTATTGCCCCCACTCTCTAGCTCCGGCAACCATTATTCTGAATTCAAATTTTTAAAATAACATATGATCTACTGTTTTTTACTTTTTGACATAAACTTTAGAATAATGTTAGATATTACATTTTATAAATATCATTTAGTTGGGGCTTGCTGAGTGTTGTTTAAATGTATACTCACGGATTTTTCTTTTGTGTGCTTCTTCTGTTGTTTACTGAGATAGTTGCATTAAGAACACCAACTACTTATTAAATAGGGAATCCTTTCCCTATTGCTTGTTTTTCTCGGGTTTGTCAAAGATCAGATTGTTGTAGATATGCGGCATTATTTCTGAGGGCTCCGTTCTGTTCCATTGATCTATATCTCTGTTTTGGTACCAGTACCATGCTGTTTTGGTTACTGTAGCCTTGTAGTATAGTTTGAAGTCAGGTAGTGTGATGCCTCCAGCTTTGTTCTTTTGGCTTAGGATTGACTTGGCGATGCGGGCTCTTTTTTGGTTCCATATGAACTTTAAAGTAGTTTTTTCCAATTCTGTGAAGAAAGTCATTGGTAGCTTGGTGGGGATGGCGTTGAATCTGTAAATTACCCTGGGCAGTATGGCCATTTTCACAATATTGATTCTTCCTACCCATGGAATACTATGCAGCCATAAAAAATGATGAGTTCATGTCCTTTGTAGGGACATGGATGAAATTGGAAAACATCATTCTCAGTAAACTATCGCAAGAACAAAAAAGCAAACACCGCATATTCTCACTCATAGGTGGGGATTGAACAATGAGATCACATGGACACAGGAAGGGGAACATCACACTCTGGGGACTGTTGTGGGGTTGGGGGCGGGGGGAGGGATAGCATTGGGAGATATACCTAATGCTAGATGACGAGTTATTGGGTGCAGTGCACCAGCATGGCACATGTATACATATGTAACTAACCTGCACAATGTGCACATGTACCCTAAAACTTAAAGTATAATAAAAAAAAAGAAAAAAAAAAAGAACACCAACTACTTTTGAAATATTTCTGTCTATTCTTCAAGCTATTTTGCAGTTTTTCCTTTAAAAATCTTTAAACTATTTCATTGAGCATATACAAAATTAGGGTTGTTTTAGCTTCTTGATGTTTAACTTTTAAGCATTATTAGATTGTTATCTCTAGAAATGCTTCTTCCTTTGAAGTATACATTCTCTAGTATTAATGTAGCTATATTGCTTCCTTTTTGTTAATGTTCTCACATTACGCATGTTTTTATCCTTTGCTGTCAACCATTTTATTTATATTTAATATAGTTTTCTGTTATGCCAGCATATGGTTAGAATTTTGTTTCTCAGCTAGTTTGACAATGTTTGCTTTTAATTGCAGAATATATCCCATTTACATTTTATGAAATGAAGGGATTTCGTATTTATATGTACCACTTTACCATTTCATGTTTTTGTACTATTCTCTATTCTTTTGTAAGTATGTTATTTTTATGGAATACTACATGTTATAAAACAAATACATTTTTTCTTTTCTTCCTCTCTGTTAACTTGTTAATTGAAACTACTTTTACTTATATTCAATGGTTATTGCACGCATTGCAATATTTGTTCTTGATTAGTAAAATGAAATCAGTATATGTCTAATTATTTCCAAAAAATTCAAAGACCTCATAATTTTTGCCTACATTTATATCCCCTCTTAGATTTCCCACTCTTTTTCTTGCGCTTTATATTTCTGCATATATTTTAAACCTCAAAAGATATTGCTATTACTGTTCTCAGTAGTCGACGTTATCTTAGATTTATTCACATATTTGCCATCTGTATTCCTTTTCATTCCTTTCTGCCTTACAGTTTCTATCTGGACTAATTTTATTTCTGCTTAAATAATATACTTTATAATTTCCAAGGGCAGAGCTCTGCTGGTGAATGTTTCACTGTTTTTGTTTTTGCCGAAAATATATTTGTTTACCTTCATTTTTGGAGAATATTTTCTGTACAAAATATTCTTGCTTGGCAGTTATTTTCTCTCAGCACTTTCAAGCAATGTTTTTATTTTTTTCTTATCTCCACTATTTCTATTTGAAAATTAGCTACCATTCTTATTATTGCCTCTTTAAGGAAAATGTGTTTTCTTGTTTTTGCTTTTAAGATTTCTTTTTTTCCTTTTTTAGCAAAGTAACATAGGTGTGGTTTTATTTTGTATTTCTCCTGCCTCTGTGTGTGTGTGTATGTGTATGTGTGTGTGTGTGTGTGTGTGTGGTGTTTTGTTTCATATTGTTTTAGATCTCCTTGAAGTTGTGGATTCACATTAGGTTTTCATAAGTTTTAGAAAATTGTCCAGTTTTATTTTTTCAAGTATTGTTTCTGACTCAAGTTTTCTCCCTTCCCTTGGGAGCTTCATTAGATCTTATCATCATGAATTGTATGTCTTTTGAATACTATTGTGTATTTAAAATCTATTTCGGATGCATCAGTTCAGACAGTTTATCTTGCTCTAACTTTCAGTGTATTTGCTCTTTTTAATGCTGTGACTACACTATTTTTAAACCAATCTTTTAAATTCATAATATGTTATTGAATTATTCAGTTCTAAACCTCCCATCTAATTGATTTTTGTTTTTCTTTGCTGAAATTCCATTTTTGTCAATATTCTTTAATATTTAAATCACAGTAATTTTAAACTTCGTCTCCAGTAACTCTAATATCTTTATTGGTTGTGGGTATGAATTACTATCTTATGCATTTCTTTCGGTTTTTGTTCATTTGGACCTCTTTCTAACCACTATTTGTTTTTGAATTAAATTCTTTAAACATATATATGGAAAATTATATAGTGTGTGCAGGGTATTATTTTTCTCTGCAGAAGATCTACCTATTTTCACCACCTTGCACAGAACAAGAAATACATACCTGGTTTGTGCTTACATCTAGAGTTTAACCTTTTCAAGTCTCCCAAGTGAAATCCTAGGGTATGTACAAAGGTCCTTCCTCTTGTGTTGAGGGGTTCCTAAGCTCTGTATTTGTCTCTCCTGAGTGGTGAGACTGTTGAATCCACGCTTCGCTTTGTAGTTTCTGAGCAGCTGTTTTTATGCTTTCTTTATCTGAGTCATCACCTGTACTGGAACAGTGTAAAAGTTGAATAATGTCTTACAGCAATACTGTACTCACACTGTGTGGGTCATTTCTCTGTGGTTTTCCTTTCTCTTAGGATATTGCCCTCATTCTTGGTTGTTCAGAAGTCATACATTTTAGTGACTGTTTTCTCAGCCAAGGGAATGCTGCAAGTCCTGGATTGCTACTCTCAGTTTGCCCCTATGTCTCGCACCTAGAATTGAATAAAGGCTCAAAAAGAAAAAGCAGCAGTAAATGCAGGGCTCACCTCAATGCATGACCCTGTCCTATAGGATTGTGGCTCTGGAGTTCTGGCAGCCTTTGTTGTTTTATAAATGCCTTCAGTGATTTTTAAATATTTTATTCATCTTTTGTAGTTCTGTTCATCTGGCATCTGTCTCATGCCAGGTACACCCTGCTGAAATGGGTTTTTGTTGTCAACATCAGCTTTTCCATTTTAATCATTTATACATGTTTTATATATGAATGTGTTTGTGTGAATATATATGTACATTATTGTGCATAAATTATATATAAAGTATATACATTTCTATTCATGTATCGTATGTATATTATATATTCATATATAATACATAAATTATTTATATATTATACATGAATGACAGATGATACAAAATATATATATTATATTATGTATAATTTACATGAATTTTTAGTACATAGTTCCTATTTTAAATTATAACATAGAATAATCAAATTTTAGATGTAAATATGGACTAAGGGCTCTTTCCAATCAATTTCAAGTACATTTCTATTCCATATATCTATTAATTTAATAAGAATCTAGGGGGTTATTGCTGTTGTTTTTGTTTAATAGCACTATACTCAAATTTATATTTATATTTAAAAAAAGTTTTGCACGCATTATTAAAATAGTAACTGAATGTAAAGTACAATTATAATAATGAAGATTTTCTACTTTGACAAAATGAACTTTCAAAAATTTGACTTTGATTTAATAAATTCCATTAAAAATTCAAAACATTTATTAGTATTTATTCTTACTGATTTTCATTCTGAATTCTCTGATAATATTGATGTAAAACTAGTCATTTGTGGAAGGTTTCTGATAATAAAGTCAATACATAATTATTGCTTCACTTTGCATGTATGTGCCAAATACTTGCAAAAATGAGCAATATTAATATGGAAGTATAATTGTGAGATTTAGATAAAAGTATTTCTAACTACATATAGAATAGATAACCATTATATTTCTGTGACAGGGTTCACAGAAATAGAAATGTACTTTCTATAATTGTACCTTGTGAAAGCATCACTTTTGGGCACATTTTCTTTAAATACATTTTTTACTTTTGAAGTAAATGATGGCATTTCTTAATTAGTCTGGTGTTATTTGGTTTTCATCTTGTCAGAATTATTGGTACAACCCCTAACATGAATAACTTTCTCAAAGATTTTGTTTCTAGTTACAAATTCATGAAAAATGTCCAAAGTAAATTAAAGTCAGTAGTTAAATGTTATGTTAAATTTTATTATTTCTTTTAGTTAAACTCTGTGGGCTTTTTGCTGATAAATGTGATTATTGCCTAAAAAGATACAAAGAAATAATAAATTACATAAATAGATTTAGATTTACATTATGCAATACAATACTAATCCACTCTTTTAAACGTTTGCATATACTTTATGTACTCCACATAATGCTGTTCCACTAAGATTTCCTGCACAAATTTGCTTTCCCCTAGCCTATACTCTTCCTGCATTTTCAGTGACCTCACTGACTGGAAACTGGGCACCTCGTTCCTTCTCACAAGGTAAGGAACAGTCTTATCAAAGTAATTATAAACTTTGTTTCTGAAAAATTGAATATATGTATTAGTTGTGGGAATGAATTGCTATCTTACTCATTTCTTCTGGGTTTTTTCATTTTGATCCTCTTTCTTGCCATGCCTTGTTTTTTATAAAATTAAAACCAGATTCCTGACAGAGAAAGCAGCATCCTACTTCTATGACCCCAGGCAACAACCCGGAGTAGCTAGCTTTCCCTGCAGACTCATGTTTTATCAGTAAGCACCCTGCAGACTACACATGCAAATGAGATGTTAGCTATGATAGCTTCTGGGGAAGATGTTAGCTTCTTGGGGAGGTCAATAAAAGAAAGACAGGTTTGATCTCCTTTGCTTCAGATTTAGTGATGCATTATTGTGGTAAATCTTTTCGTTTCACATGCATCCACTAATACATGACACTTCATCAGAGACTCAAAGTCCAATTGGGAGGTATAGCAAATCCTCCAGCTTGTGTTAATGAAAATATAAATAAAACATTTTTAAAATAAAAACATTTAATATATATTAAACTGGAGGTAAAAGGGACTTTGAGTATAAGCCAGGATCTTCCCAGGCAAGTCATGATGTGTGACTTGTTCATGATACATAGGTAAAGTGTGATTATTTGAGAAATATTAAACATCATTGTTCCAGATCGAGGTGAAAACATAGACTATCTAGTTATCAGCATTAGCATACAATATAAACAATAGGCATTTTAAACAATGGATTATTTCAAAATATCAATTTGGCAGCTATATGGAATCCTCCACATTGCTTATTGAAAATATTAGTAAAAGTCTTATAGGGAAATATATTTACATCAACCAATGCATCAAAATCAATGTGATACTTTTATTTCAAAAGATATTATAAATAATATATGTGTTTCACTCTGCCCTATAGCAAAAAACTGCAGCAATGTAAAAAGGGATACTTTGCAAAGAGTTTAATGAGTGAAATAGATACACAGGAACAAGCAAAGTGTAGTGAAACCACAATAAATAGTGCAATGCCTTCTGGTTGGTAAAAATAGGTGTCTTTATGGTGCAGGCCAAAAGGGGCCAAGGGCTGAAGAAGAGAGAGGAATCCAGAAAAAGAGCTGCATGGGGAGGCAGCCAGCCAGGAGCTGTTTATTTTGGTCCAGGGACACGTCCAGGACATGAAAAAAATGATGGCTAACATTTACCTTGACCTCACTCTATTCCCTCCTACTGATCTCCCTCTGGGGATGCCTATTGGCAGCTATTACCTGGAAGACAGAGAGCAACAATCCAGCCAGCATCCTGGGGACAAGGAGAGGGATGAACAAGGATAAGGAATAGCTCTGAAGAGAAAAACAAAAGATAACCAGCACGATGTTGTTTCTTTCTTTTACATCACGAAAATATATAATTGAATTTACTTTGATTTCTGTCTCTGCTGCCAGAAAAATCTAATTTAAATTATATATTTCTTTTATTAATTTATATCAAGTACTGTCTTTGAAAAGCATTCTCAATTCATTTGAAGAATTAGGATAGAAATATTGAACTAAAAAAATGAATAATTGAAAATTAATATTTTAATTTTTTAACATTATCTTGTAGACATTTTTCTTAATCATTATCCTTGCGGTATGTACAGTGACTAAGAAAACAAAGAGCATTTCTTGACTTTCAGAAGGTGACCCAGCACTCATTGTAGGCCATGTTGTTCTCTTATGTAACAATTCCACAAAATTTCAACCTCAGACCAATCCTAAATCCATGATAAAATGAGACAAAGCAAGGCTACTTCATGAGTTTGTCTAAGTAGAACAAAATCTAGGTTGCTCCTCAGCCCACAAAATAACAGTATTTCCATTCTTTTGCTAAACTAGTGACAGCTACTTCTTTTTTAACCAATCATAAAATTGCCCCTGCTTTCCTTTCACGTCAACCAGCATATTAAAATCAATGTGAAATTCTTATTTTGAAATACATAAAATATATTCAAACTAGCAGAAAACCTTGCTTCCTTGGACCTTCTGCCAAATCACCCAAACTAAGTCCAAATCCTATAAAAGATTATTTATTTTTTAACCATCTTATTGTGACACCCAACAATTCCCTATAGTAAGCAGTCATACTCACTTCAAAGAGTAATAAATCCATTTTTTTAAACTACAGCTGTGTTCTTGGTGGTCTTTGGCTAAAGGGCATTAATAATAGCTACTCCTGTAGAGAAACTCCTCTGCACCGTAAGCATTACTTGTATTCCAGCCTGCCTTTCTTAAAATGATACAAGATGATATGAGAAAGCTGTCAATATAGCTTTTATAAGATCTGTTATATCTTGAGCTGCTAAAATTGGGACATTTTTTAAGTAAATAAATCATAATCATGTAGCAAATATTTCAAAAGGACAATTGCTAAAACCTTTTTAACAGCTACAATTGTAGGTTAATTATCAAAATCCCCTAATGATATTCATTGCTTGCAGGTATGGTTCACTTCAGTGGAAAATGGTGTTAATTGTAGAACAAGAAGATGACAAGCAATTAGATGTCTTCCTGAAGGAATTTTAAAAGCCTAATCTTTATATTAAAATAGATTAAAGAAAAAAATATTTGGGGAGATAATGAGAATTGCGTTTCAAATGGTTAACCCAGTGCATTGCCAAAAATGGCTTTTAGAATTCATATATTAAAACACATATGAGTTGGAAAAAATGTATATTTTTAAAATCTCTGTAAGTCTGAAACATTTTTAGATCTGTTTTATGATTGATACATTAAGAGACTTCATAGGTTTTACTGTAAAAATTAAAATGTTATTTTATTAGGAAATTTTTGCAAGGTTCTGTATATTTTGAACTAAAGTGCTTTTTCACAAACAGATACAGACAATATGTTCCAAAGCTTGTACCTGTGAGGTAGACCCATTCATTATTTACTGTATGCGACTGAAGCAAATTATTTAATCTTTTAAAATCTCAGTTTCTTTATCCTACAGTAAGGATTAGATTTGTTAATTCACAGATAATTCTTATATCAAAGAGGTGGTGCTGATGCTATTGTTATTAGTTAGGCCTGATGCTCTGGGTTTTATTAACGGTAGGGGTAGCCACCAAATCAGCATATTTGCAATTGTTTTCTTTTCTGGGCACTTTTTAAAAATAAGGACTCAGAATAATGTGCTTCAATTCTTCCCTAAACATTTTTTCCCTCTAAAAATTTATGGTAAGATTTAGAACCTGCCAGAAAACAGAGATATATAAACTATTTGTTACCTAAAAATATTAAATAAAATTTACTAGGAGAAGCCACAGAATTGGAATCCTCAGAGTTTAGGCTACTCCTTTCACACTTAATTCAGTCAGCCCTTTAATAACCCCATTCTTTGTCTGAAGATCAATTCACTTTGTGGTTTTTTTTTTCCCTCAGAAATTCCATCATTGTGGAGCTAATTATATCTGTGTTGATGCTAATCATTAACTAGCTTATTTCTATATATTTTTCTTATTATAGTGTCATAATACACCATGAGGTGGTTGGGTCCCATTTCCAGAACAACCAGAGTGACGTCTGAACAATGCTCTCTAAACAAGATCTTCATGTCTGCTCCCAAAGAGGGTTGCTACATTCTTAGCTTCCCTCAATTTAATTCTTTTATGATAAAAAGAAGGTAATGTATAAACATGATAAAAAAAGATAACATGATTAACCTGTCTTGTCATTTCACTCTCCTTTAACAATGCTGTGCTGACATGTCAATTTTCCTGCATTTAATAACACGATTTCATTTTTGGCTCTCCTCACTAAAGTTGGTGCTTTGCTCTTAATATATACAACAGATTTCAGGTTTGAGCAATTCCTGTCACTTACTAATCATATATTTGTTACAAAAATCATAGGTTTTTGACTTCTTATTTTGGATCAGCCACTTTTCCATTCTATTTCATTTAAGGCTTATACAAACATTTTGTATTAGACTTTATTGTCTCCATTTTATAGATGAGGGAACAAAGGTCAAGTAAATCAAATAATGTGCCCAAAATTATACAATATTTAAGAAGCTCATAAGAGTTTGAAATTAGGTGTGTCTGTGGCTAAATTAAATGTATCATCTATTTATTATCCTATACTTCCTCATTGAGAACATTTAAAAATATGCTACATTATATTAAGGGACCTGAAATAAACACAATATAACTTGATCTGCTAATGCTGCTCTGTGTGTATATATATATATATACATATATATATATATGTATATATATATATGTGTATATATATATATACACATATATATGTATATATATGTATGTATATATATATATATATACAAACACACACATATATGCACACACACACATATATGCACACACAATATATATCTGTATATACCTATAAATTAGTATATATGTAATCAATCATATACCTACATAAATTTTAGTCGACAACTATGTAACAGAAGCTCGGGAATTAGATTCTGAATGGCTCTCCATGGCCAAAAGCAGACTATTCCTATTTTATTTTTATTTTTGTAGTGTGAAAGTTATAAACTTTGCCTCTGACCTTTGTCTCTCAGTATTTGTAAGAAAGGGCACAGATTTGTGAAATAATTGATTTTTAATGTTTAAATGTGAACTTTATTTTTATAAAATAATTATCCTCCCTGAGAAGTCAAGAATATTAAGTTGAAATTGTATTTTCATCCTCAATAGCATTCATTATTAACCAATTATTACTAAAAATGACAAAATAGTTTAGATGGGCTAACAGTCTAAATTTAGTCACTTGATTATTCTTGAAGCACAACATAATCAGCATAAAAAATGTTGATAGTTTTCTACTCCCTTCAAAAATAAAGACAAAATATAACAATTTTGGTGACAACTATTTTTCATGTAAATAAAATCTCAAATTTTTGTGACAGTGAACAAAGTGCTTATTTGATTTTAATTCTTATAATAATGCTATGAGGCAGGTACTAGTACATTAAGTTTGTAAAATAGATCGAGAATTCAGTGCAGAATCTGAATATAGATTTCATATATCTTTTTCTTGACCACAAAGCTAAAAATGTTTTCACTAAGATTGAAATAAGTTCGTCTCATTTCAGTAAGAGTGAACAATTGTACTGCACAATTCGATAGATAATTAAACCTACTGCTCTTTATATTTTTTAATGAAAAACTATATTCTATTCTAAATATTTAATATGTGCCTGTTTCCCACAATAAACTGTGGCCTTACTGTCATCTAAAAAAGTATCATTGAGACTTAGTAACATGACAATTACGGTACACATGTTTTTTGGGAAATAAACATTTAGTTTGTATAAATTAACTGTGAGTTAAGAAAATATGATAGGATAAAAAGAGGAGAGAAAATAAAAAATACTTTAAGTAGAAAAATGAATGGGCCACCATTGATGCCTTTTCTAGCCTCTAAGTTACAGCTTTCCAAAGCTAATTTACCATTGGTATTGAACACATGGATTTGTGCCTAAAAAATGTGTGATTCTTAGTTAAGGGCAGAAAATTCCTCCTCCTCTTTGCAAGCGCAAATATAATTCATGTTTCCAGTAACAAAAGAATACTTTGCATTCTTGTAAAAGAAGAGGTAATAAATATGAAATGAATTGAGAGAGTTCAATACATATTCCGCTGTGGAATTGTGCAAAAGCCACTTCACCATATGAGCAAATGAACAACAAAATTATTTTATAGTTCTCTATGCTCAATAGTTTAATGTCAATTTTAAACTTAGAGGCTAGTAAGATGATGTTAAAGTTTTCCAGTTCCTCTTCATTTCTTTCTATTGAGCAGTGTTTGACTTTTTTTTTCTTTTGAACTCTTTTATAAAAATGAATATCCATTTTGTATTAGCATAACCTTTAAACTTCATAAGTTGATAAAGTACAAAGCTTGGTTTTATGCTGACTTCAGGTATAACTATATCTTATGAGAAAGTTTTCTCACTCAGGGTTCTCTAGGGTTTCACGACCTTTGAGAATATGTGTTTCAGTAACTACCAATTACAAGTTTGTCATTTAGGAAAAGTCAATTAGCAATAAAGCATGAATTACAGAATGATATAAAATTGTGAACTCTTCAATAATATCTTAAACCATAACATTGTATGTTGGTTAATATTTTATGCTCTTTCATCTTTAATTAGTGTGTCTCTACCATATTTAAAAATCTAAATATTTAAGTCTCAAGTATCCTCAGTTCAAATTAAAAATCAGTGTTTTATTAAAACTTTTGGTCCTTAAACATAATTTATTTGTTATCTTAATAAACATCTTATAGGAAGCTATGCAACTTTTCTTATTGATGACACCTTTTAAATTTTTCTCACATTTACTCTTTTGTTTCTATTTATTTTGTCATTACCAACATTATGAAATTTTTAATAATCTCAAAATTCATCTATTGCAAGGCATCTTGATTCCTTACAGGATGATATTAGATGTTTTAGTCCAAGTAATTTCATCATTCTAAATTCCCACCATCATTTAGAATATGGTAAAAATATAAAAGCCTTGAAATTAAGAAAACTATAAGTAATTCTTAGATACTTTGGTATTTGACATTAGAATGCAATTCTTTTATTGTTCAGAGACAAGAAAAAGTTTACTGAGTCTTTAAATATTTGTTTAACTTGGACTGTGTGTAAAATGTTGGTCCTCAAGTAATTCACAATTTAATGAAAAGGATAAACATAGAAAGTGGTAATTATAAAATAAACCAGTACAAGGGACAGCAAGTCATTTCTGTGAAAGACCAGAGAGCATATATTTTCAGCCTTGCAGGACACACTCTTCTCTGCAACAACTGCAAAGCTCTACTATTTAGCATGAAAGCTGCTACAGACGACGTAAAGGGGAGCCTGGGTATATTCCAACAAAACTTTGAGGACTATCGAATTTGAATTTCATGCAATTTTCACAAGTCAGATATTATCTCTATTTGATTTTTTTCAGCCATTTAAAAATATTTGAAACACTCAAAATTTTGGGCTGTACAAAAACAGGCAATTGGCTGAATTTGGCCAATAAATCTACATTATTTTCCTATAGCTGCTGTAGTAAGTTACCATAAACTTAGTGGCTTAAAATAACAGAAATTTATTATCTCACAGTATTAGAGGCCAAAACTTTGAAATCAGTTTCCCTGGGTGGAAATCAAGGTGTTTTCAGGGTTCTACTACCCCCAGAGGCTTAAAGGAAAAATCTGTTCCTTACTCCTTCCACCATCTGGTAGCTTTTGACATTCACTCCCATCTCTCGACTCTTTCCTGTGCTGAGTGGGTCCCTCCTGTAATTTTGCTGATCCTTCTGCCAGTATATTTTTCCTTGCACTAAGAATCTCCTGCTGGTGATTAATGCTGGTTTGTTTTATACACACACATGTGTGCACACACACACACAAACAGAACTTTCCTTTCTGGATTTGATAAATGAGATTATTTATTTATGGTAAAGAGGCAATTAATTAGAAGGAATAAGATCTAGAATTTGATAGCACAACAGGGTGACTATAGTCAACAATAATTTAATGTATAGTTTAAAATAACTGAGTATATAATTGGAATATTTGAAACAGAAAGAAATGATAAATGATAAATGCTTGCAGTGATGGTTACCCCATTTACCCTGATGTGATTATTACAAATTGCATGCTTGTATCAAAATATCTCATGTACCCCATGAATATATATACCTAGTATGTACCTATAAAATATTTTTTATTTTTTTTTAAAAAGAGGCAGTAAATTATTTTAAGCAATGGTGATAGCATGAGTATAACCACAGAAGTAAAATTAAATAAGTAAATAAATGATTTTAAAAATTAAAATACATTTTGACTATGGAAGAATTTCAGTCCTTTTGGAAAATAATGTAAATAGAAAAGACCAGTGAGTTATGAGGCAGAAAAAGTAAAAATGTCCAAACCATAATGATAAGCTAAGATTTCATCCAACTGCAGTGATTTGGTAGGGTGAGAAGATATATGTCAGGTTCTGTGTTTTGAATTTGTCACCATGTCTACAGTATAGATAGATTTGTAGATAACTCTGAGTACATTTATGATTTCTTTTCTGGAGGCCAGGAATTAAAGAATGAAGACTGGATTTAGGTGATATTAGAAGTGCTCAGAAGGAAAGGTTGAATTCAGTATAGAATTACAATATTTAGGAAGCCAAGTGGACAGAATTTGAACTACTGTTAGTGGGTAGTAAACATTTGGGGCAAGTCAAATATATCTCTTGGTATATTAACTAGGGTGAAAATATATGATGCTGCAAAAAATGCAGTAAAGAGTTTAGGCGACTGTCAGGAGCCCAGCTGAGGTGGGGGAGAGCTGATCTGGCAAATATCAGCATAGTCTATAAAAGCAACAAGCCAAACACAAAAAAATTAAGCCTTTAATCATTTTCTGTAGTGGAAGAAGCTAAAACTGGAGAAAACACTGATGAAAACCTGTTTTATTTTACCTCATAGAGTTGTGCCTCAGCGAAGGGTCAGCATGGGTACGGAGGTCCCCTCAGTTGAGGGAACCTGAAAGGCTCCTGCAGTTGTATGGACCCTGGAATGATGATGCAGGAGAGAGTTAGGAGTGGAAAAGTACTAGAAAAGTGTGGAAATTGTCTTCATGTTTTCCCTGTCTTTCCTCCAGTAAGGAGGCTTAGCAGAGGTGCTTGAAGAAGGCCTCCACCTAAAGCCTCAGAGAAAGACACCTAGGAATGAAGGTGCCTGGGCTTGGAATGCAAATGGCGGAAGAACTTGATGGACCGGAGCAGCCTGGCCTGAGTCCTTTTCTGCCATTCCCCTTGGACACTGCCATCCTCTGGATGGGCGTCAAGCCTGCTGTGGAAAGGGCAGCTTCCACTTCGAGGCCTGTCACATAAACCTTTTGTAATCATTTGTGGTCACACCTGGAAAATAGTAAGTAGGTTTTTAACCAGGAGTTGGACTCCTCACACCAATACTGTTTAAAAAAATGATAATTTAAGTTTCACACATGTTTCTTTTGAGTAGCCTGTGAGAAAGGAAATTATAAATGTTTAAAATAAAGTGAGCATAACTTTGGGAATAATCAAGATCGAGTTTGAAGAATTATCGGCCTTGGTTGTTAATTGATACAAGAAAGAAAGAGAGTAATCACTCAAAAGAATGAGTAGCGTGAAAAGAACAACATCAAATATTTGAAGTTCAAAACTATTCAGAAAATATTTGGAAGGAGAGAGGACATTCAGAAGATAGAGAAGATGAAATGAAGATGTTTAGGTTTAGACACAGGGGTACCTTGTCACAATAGAACATGAGTAGGTAATTTTGAAGAAAAATCTACAGGAATAAACAGAGAGAAAGAACAGGCAGCTGTATTCATAAGCAAATAAAGTAAAAATGATAAAATACTACAGCATTCTCAAATACTACAAACTCTTCTATGAGTCTGTACAAATTGAAAAAAAAGATAAGGTTCTATCCAAATAGTAAATAGATCATCTCTGCATTGTAAGACCCAACATTCCGTATGCTGCCTTTGACCTCTGAACCTCTGAGAACTCCGAATTCTTAGTGCTACAACCTTTTCTCTTATCAAACATGCCCTCCCACTCACCAGCAAAGCCTCCCCATCCAGCTAGGTCCATTTTCAGCCGAACCACCTGCACCCAGCTTGGTCCTCAACCTTCCCGCCTGCACAAGATCCGATTCAACCCAGTCAGTCACAACCCTCATGAGAACCAGGTTGCACCCCACCTTCCTATTAATACAAAGCCTGCCTCTCACATCCCTCCTGTTTCACTCTGCTCCTGAGTGTAGCCTTGCACTGCACGTGGCATTCTCCTTTCTTGGGCTGTGAGTAAACGTGACTAATAATCTGCTGCTAACTGCATCTGTTCATTGTCAAGTGTCCTGTGTTCAACCGCCTTGTACTATTTATAATGAGGGATTCCTTCTTCACCAACAGGGTGAACAGAAAATGTTCAGAGCAATCATCCTCTGAAAATTCATATAAATGACAGCAGAAATACAAGAAGGAGATTGGATTTCAATCCTCTTGGAAACAATTGATTTGGAAGTGGTCTGTGGTCTAAAGATTTTGACAAAATTTTAGGAGCAAGTAAAGATGATATAAATATATAAAGAGACAGAACAGAAGGGAGATAGCCACATTTCAGAAAACATGGAGAAATTATACAAGTGATTCTTCCCAGGAAATTCTTCAGAAATGTCCAAAGAAAAAATTATGGACTTACAAATCTGACTGTGCGATGACTGCAAAATCCTCCTTTATCTTCCTCTCCCTGACATGCATGCAAACACACACACACACACACACACACACACACACACCCTGAGATTTGCATCATTTGTCTTTAGGCTAAAATAAGGGAAAACATTTCAAAATGATTTACCGATTTTTTTAAATGATGGGCACAGTAACCATAATTAAGTCTTCCGTATTTGGCATTGGAATGAAGGTAACGGGATCAAACCCTTCTATTTACTTCTCCTTACTCATCCAAAGATGCAGTCAACCATCAACAAACACTTCCCTAGTATACTGCCCACAAAGTCAGCTCGTAAATTCAGGGAAAATAGTTTATAAGGGTCTCAAGGCTGTTTAAAAACACCAACACCATAAGAGAGATGGAGTAGGTGGAAAAAATACACAAAGAAAGTGCAACGAACAGAAACAACTAAAATAAACAAGGAACATTCAGCAAAAATTTTAAATGTTGTATTATCTGTTATGATTTTTCTTTTACTTTTCCTTCATAAGTAAACCATTTATTTTTCTGAAAATTTTGAGTGTATTCTTTCTATCATCATTATGCTTAAACGTGATGGGAAACTTACTGGGCATTATTTACAAGGCACATTTCTCCACACACTTGTTCCTTTTCTTTTCAATAACTTTCATCTATGTAAGCACAACAGGCTCCCTTATTTTGCTCTGTTCTTCTGCAAAGTCACCTTCCATATGAAAAGACTTCCCTGGAAAGTATTGCCTTCCCACTCTACCTAAAACTTCAGTGTATTTTCCAGATATTCTATATGCCCTCTCCTGATGTGATTTGTTCTCCTTATAATTTTGCACTGATTGTTATACTATATTTATCTTGATTATTGTCTTTCTCCTCTACCAAAATGTAAGAACTGTAAGTGCAATGACATTTTTCTCTTTTATCACTGTATTCCTGGCTCCTAGAGGAGCACCTGACATGTTATAATTGTTCTTACTGAAGAAAATAAATAACTGATTTGGTGAAAAACCTAAAACTGTCCATCATTTTATTTTTTAACTCAATTGATTTTTTTAAACAAATATTTTTGAATAGTTGGGGTGGGACGTGGTGGCGAAAAAAGAACCTAGATTTAATAGAACATATAAAGAAAAAAGGAGATGAAAGTGACATGGTGAAATTTCTAGAAGGATACGAAATGAGGAAAAGAGGTGCATATTTGAATTTTAAAAGCTGAGATGAAATAACATGATATGGTAACAAGATCCATGGGGAGATCCAGCATGTGGTGACAGACCCGGAGAGCAACTGGGCTGAGGGAACTAGAGTAAAATTAATTGTTATCCTGGAATATGGTCAAGATGACAATATTAAGAAATGTGTGTTCAAAAGGTCTGTAATCATGCACTCAGAAGCTGCACAGTTTTTGGTTTAAGGTGTGACATTGCTTAAAAAGAATTGACAAATGCAAGGCAGGACTCCCCTTTAAATCACTTGGTGTTATTAGTTTATCAAGATCAAAACTTCAGCTGTGGATGGATATCCAATTACCATGAACTGGGAGGAAAGTGCAGCTTTACATTTAGAAACAAGAGGGGAGACCATTTACTAAAATTGGATCACAAATTTGGAGGTGGATTTGCCGCAGTAATGACATAATCGTCTCTTACCTAAGGGATGGCATAGGCACATAATTTTTCACAGTTGTATGTGATATTCCATCCAACAGGAGTTTCGTTTCAAGTAAACTTATAAAACACTGCATAACTGATTCCACCCTCAGTGTGTCATAATACAGGTTAGCAAATTTAAAGCTATTTGAAGTTTGACAGGAATGAACCTGCTTTGTTGAACGCAGTTTTTCTCTGACTATATTTAATTAACGAACCCATCATTCACAGCGTGTCTATTAATTTCCTGTGGAACTAGTGAGAAATGCTTTTCTACAGCAGAGCGTGAGGCCATGGCTATAAGCAGAGATAAATTGGCTCAAGTTGCTGAGAAAATTAAACTCTTCGGTCAAAAAACAAAACGAGTCAATAATTTAATGTGTTGGCATTGATCCATTGACACTCTTCTTTCCAAATTTTATTTTTGACTTAGTTGAATATGTGTGAGAATGCAAATGAATTATTCCTGGAAAAATAATTAAATAACTCAATAGTGGCCACAGTGAAAACCACTACAACAAATTCATTTTATTGAAACAACCAAAGCATACTCTTTTATAACATTTTTGCAAAAGATTATTGAATGTTTTCCTAGGGCATTTCATATAATATTCTTGAATTTTGAAGGAGGCAATATTCTTACCAGGGCTTTAGTCGGTTGAACAATATCCTCCCAAAATCCACATGCATCTAGAATCTCAGAATGTTACCTTATTTGGAAATAGGGTTTTGCAGATGTAATTAGTTAAGTTGAGATCATACTGGATTATGGAGGGCCCTAAATTCAATAACTGGTATCATTATAAAAGAAGACTTCACTCAGAGAAACACAGAGAGGAGGCCATGTGAAGATGGGGTCAGAGAATTGAGTTATGCTGCCATAAATCAAGGACTCTCTGGGCCATCAGAACCTGCAAGAGACAAAAAGACTTCTACCCCAGAGACTGACTTTACAGGGAGCATGGCCTTACCAAAACCTTGATTGCCAACACATTGATTCCAGACTTTTAACTACCAGAACTATTAGAGAATGAATTTCTCTTATTTTAACCCATCAAATTTATAATAACCTGCTATTGCAGACCTAAGAAACTAATACAATGACCAATCAGTTATCAAGTTTTTGTATGTTTATAAATTTTTTTAATGTTAAGATGCATGCCACTGATTGGTTTAGCAATATCATGTCAATTACATGGGCATATAGGGACTTTTTTATATTCTGTTATTTACCTTTAACAGCTTTTCTAAGGTATAACTTGCATGTAGTTGATTTGATTCATATGTAATGCAAGTTCATGCATTTTATTTTATTTTATTTATTTATTTATTTATTTTGAGATGGAGTCTCGCTCTGTCACCCAGGCTGGAGTGCAGTGGTGCATCTCCGCTCACTCTAAGCTCCGCCTCCCAGGTTCACACCATTCTCCTGCCTCAGCCTCCCAAGTAGCTGGGACCACAGGCGCCCGCCACTACGCCCGGCTAATTTTTTGTATTTTTTAGTAGAGACGGGGTTTCACCGTGTTAGCCAGGATGGTCTCCATCTCCTGACATCGTGATCCACCCGCCTCGGCCTCCCAAAGTGCTGGGATTACAGGCGTGAGCCACCGCGCCTGGCCAGTTCATGCATATTTAATACAATGTAATGGAAGGATTTTTAGTAAAT